>NW_025791757.1:0-210426 GCF_000001405.40 Homo sapiens | reverse complement strand
GAATTCACCAACCTGTAGAAGGACAGGGAGAAGAGTCCTCAGTACCCAGCTGTTCCCCAACATTGTGCAGCTGCTTTGACTCAGTGCCTCGTCCTCTCTCAGCAGCTGCAGCCTTCAGCTCAGAGAGCAGGAGCCAGCATCTCAGATATGATCTGGGGAGAGCAAGACCTGCTGTCTCTGGCTGTCACAGGAGACACAAATGATGTCTCAGCAGATGCTTTGCTGTATGAGTCCGACAGAAAGAGCCAAGGCAAACTGAGCCAGTTACCCCATACTCCTCCTCCTCCTCACACAGCTTTCCTCCGGCCAGGAGTGCTCCTCAGCACCACTTCTTCCAGAAACACATCCCAGTGGTTATCCTCAACTAATAATCCCCGTAACACTGCAGACACCCACACTGCAGGGGCCTTTTTTTTTTTTTTTAAGAGAGACAGGAAAAAAAAATCCTCCTCATGGGAAGTCGGTGCTGATTTAAACATCAAAGACAACAGGTGAACGTCCATTGTGACCTTCTAAGCTGTAGCTAGGGCTGTGACAGGAACACGGCGGGGCCCTTAGCAATTGCCACCTCCCGCCTTCCTGCGCCCCCAAATGCCCCTTTCACATCTTTCTCGCTGCAGCCCTCAACCACGTTGGAGAGGTGGGAGGATCGCTTGAGTCCAGGAAGTCGAGGCTGCAGTGAGCCATGATTGCGCTGCCACACTCTAGCCTGGGTGACAGAGTGAGACCCTGCCTAAATAAATAAATAAATAAGGCCAGGTGCAGTGGCTTATGCCTGTAATCCCAGCACTTTGGGAGGTCCAGCACTTTGGGAGGGTGGATCACGAGGTCAGGAGTTCAAAACCAGCCTGGCCAACATGGTGAAAGCCCATCTCTACTAAAAATATAAAAATTAGTTAGGGTGGTGGTGGGCACCTGTAATCCCAGCTACTTGGGAGGCTGAGGCAGGAGAATTGCTTGAACCTGGGAGGCAGAGGTTGCAGTGAGCCGAGATTGCCACTGCACTTCAACCTGGGCAACAAAGTGAGACTCTGTCTCAAAAATAAATAAATAAATAGAAAAAGCCAGGCTCTTGCTCAGTCACCCAGGCCAAGTGCACAGCTCACTGCAGTCTTAAACTCCTGGGCTCAGACAATCCACCCACCTTGGCCTCCCAAAGTGCTGGGATTACAGGCATGAGCCACTGTGCCTGACCCAGAGACCAGTCTTATTTGATTATTATATCAACCTGGCAAGGAAGGAGTGCAGCTAAAACTATTACATACATTTTACATATTAGAAATCTAAGGCTTATAAAAATTACATGTTTCTCTCAAGGCCACAGAGCAGGTGTGTGGTGGGGAGGGATCCAGACCTGGACTTTCCACCTTTTAGTCTCATCTTCTCCCCACTGCCCTTTCTGTCCACCTCTCTCTTCCTTCTGCACAGCAAAAGGCCTTTTAGAGCATAAAACCCCAAAAATGCATCAATCTCGATGGAATTAAGAGTTTTGATGTACTATTCTTGAGTCAAATTAAGCCCATTCTATCACCCAGGAAGAGCATAAGAGCTCTAAAATCACTGGTGGCGTAATTCCTAGGAGCACAGATGCTTCTATTCCATGAAGCCAGGAATAGCGCAGGTGATTGCCTCCTTCCTGCCAGAGTCCTTGGCAATGGCATGTTTTTTAAGCTCTTTGGTGTCTACGAGGCAGGAAAAATAGAAATACAGAAAAAGTGTATTCAGACAGTAAAGCATGAACAGATGACCAGCAGGAAAAAGTGATTATCCATCCACTGGTTTCTATCTTCCCAATTAAGGAAGAGTCAAACTGAAAAGACACAGTAAGTAAGACTAATAGGCAAATGAAGCCCAAGAGAGACAGACAAAAACAAAGCAAGTTTTGAGTGGCTTCTACTAAGCTCTCATCCCCGGTAAGAATTCTATCAGAGGGTTGTTGTTAATTAACATGCAGAAGGGATTAGTAGCATTCCTGGCAAAGGCCAGGGACATTCTAGTAGAATGGGGATGGTCTTCAAAGAGGAAAAGAGAAAATATTTTTTAAATTATGTAATTAAAGTTATGCAGGCTTTACCACTATTTCCAAAAAGGAGTAGAATGGATTATTCAACAGATGTTTGGGGAGCACTACACAGTAGTAGTAGAAATTGCAACAGACGGTGCAGTTTTGTTAAGAAAACGTCATATCCAAATTGTGAAAATGCTGGTAACTATTAAGCAACGGTTACACTGAACACATAATAAAATGTTTAAAGAATCAAACAACCATGTCCCACCAACCAATCCTTGGATTAGAGGAATGTGATTGACATCTCGATTTCAACCAATCCACCTAACTGAGCTCTACATTTACCAAGCACGGATATCTTGCCATGTACTGTATTAAGTTAATTGGTTGGGGATTTTTATTTATTAACTACCTGCCTATGTCACAAAACTGTCTCATAATGAAAACTGAATCCCAGTGCTTTGGGAGGCCAAGGTGGGAGGACCACTTGAGGCCAGGAGTTTGAGACCAGCCTGGGCAACATAGCAAGACCCTGTCTCTACATAAAAAATTTTAAACATTTTAAACATTACCCAGGCATGGTAGTACACACCTGTAGTCCTAGCTAGTCAGAAGGCTGAGGCAGGAAGATTGCTTGAGCCCAGGAGAGTTCAAGGCTACAGTGAGCTATGATCCTACCACTGCACTCCAGTCTGAGCCACAGAGCAAAACCCTGTCTTAAAAAAAGAAAAGAAAAGAAAGGAAAATAAGGAAAGGAAAGGGGAAAGGGAAAGGGGGGGGGGAGGGGAAGGGAAGGGAGAAAGAGAAAGAAAGAAAGAGAGAGAGAGAGAAAGAAAGAAAGAAAGAGAAAAAGAAAAAGAGAGAAAGAAAGGAGGAGGAGGAAGAAGGAAGGAAGGAAGGAAGGAATCTGAAGAAGAAGATCAAACATTTTTTGAGTATTTATTGTGTGCTTGACATGGATGACGACTTTAAACAGGGTTATCTCATTGAATGATCACAACCTCAAGATGGGAATGTTAGTTTTATCCCTGCTTTTAAATGGACAAAATGAGGATCACAGTAATTAAAAAATAAGTAGGAGCTTCTTAGATGGATAGTAGAAAGTGGGAAAGTGGGGGTAACCTTCCAGGCAAAAGGAAAAGAGTAGCAAGAATAAGGAAGATTAAAAGAACCACCAAGATGTTTCAAAACTAATTCATAGCTGGGCACAGTGATGTCCACCTATAGTCCCAGCTACTTGGGCGGCTGAGACGGGAGGATTGCTTGAGCCCAGGAGTGCAGATGAGATCAGGCACTCTGGGTGGTATGGCTGTAGATGAACCCAGGAATTCAAATTCAGCCTGAGCATCATAGCAAGTCCCCATCTCTAAAACAGCAAAACAAAACTCATCCAATATGACTCAAAATGGAGTGCAAGGTATGGCAGGAGAGAGGGCAGTATCAGGGACAGCCTTGTGTGCCAAGCTAAGATGTCACTCTGACTGCAGAGAAGAACTTTTGAAGATTTTTGAACAAAGGGTCAATATTTTCAAATTTGCATCTTAAAAAGTTCCCTCTGGTGTAGTGATGAGTGGTAGAGGGAACCGAAAGCAGAGCATTTAGGACCGTCCCCCGTTTACTCACTCAGCAGCCTCCTGGAAAGCCCCACTATTCAATGAGGCAGGAGGAAGAGGGCAGGAGCAGGTCAGAGAACGGGGGTGGAAGGTGGGGTATGATAATTAAACCAATGTTGCAAATGCTCAGCATGTGTGACCCTTGAGCAGTATTGAGACAGGCAGTACACAATATGCAGCCAGAGATGAGGACCCAAAGTTCGAGAGAAAAAAATGTAGCTATACCTAACACATAGGCTATACCTAACACATAGGCTATACCTAACACGTAGGCTATACCTAACCCATAGGCTATACCTAACACACAGGCTATGCCTAACCCATAGGCTATACCTAACACACAGCCACATGTATGGCTGTACCTAACACATAAAATGCATAAAAGTCTCGACTGATTAATGCCACTTATAGATACCTATCTCAAAGCAAATACACATGCATAAAACTATATATACAAATGTGCTTTTTGCAGAGTTGTTTGTAATAGTGGAAAAGAACAGTTATCCCAAAATGCATGATTTGATTAAATAAATTATGGTAAAGCACACTATGGGATATTATGCCCCAATCGATAGATCTACACAAATCAGCATGGAAATTTATCCATGATAAATGAAAAAAGGATATCACAGAAAAATATTTATATTATGGTTCTAGTTTCAATAGATAGGGTGTTATGGATTGAATTGTTTCCTCTAAGACTTTATATGTGGAAGTCCTAGGCCCCAGTACTTCAGATTGTGACCTTATTTGGTGATACGGTTACTGAAAATGTAATTAGTTAAGATCAGGTCGTTACAAATCTAACATGACTTGTGTTCTTTCACAGGGAAACTTGGGACATGGAGAAAGACACACACAGACACAGGGAAGACACCACGTAGAGATAAAGGCAATGGTGTGGCAGAGGCATCTACAGGTCAAGGAATGGCAAAATGTGTCAGCAAGATGACATTCCACCAGAAGCCAAAGAGAAGCATGAACAGATTCCCCACAGCCCTCAGAAGGACCCAGCCTGCTAGCATCTTAATCTCACACTTCTGGCCTCCAGAACTGAGGGACAATAAATTTCTGTTGTTTAAGCTGCTCTGTTTGTGATACTTTATTACAGTAGCTCTAACAGACTAGGCATTTAAAATACTACATAACAATGTATTACAAATGCAACATGAAAATCACATAGGTCTTCATTCACATTACTGATATAAATACCACCCAGATCAGCATATACAGGAAATCCATTTGTCCATAATTAGCAACCAATATATGTTCACAAAGCTCTGATACTCCCTTGGATGGATTGATGGATGGATGGATGGATGGATGGATGGATGGATGGATGGATTGACGGATGGAAAATAGAGGGATGGATGATGGATGGATGGATGGATGGACAGATGAATGGATTATATAACAATCTATTGTATTAAAAAAAGTCTGGATGGTTGTTCATCAGACTATTGTAAATGGCTCTCTCAGAAGAGGGCTGAGAAGGAGCTTTCACTTTCCACTTTGTCTGTACTATGATATGTTTACACCAAGCATGTGTTACTTTTCTAATAAAAAGTTTGTGAATGATATCTGGGTTTGAGACCTACTGTTGTTGAAATTGAGAGGTATATGAGAATTCTCAGGGAGTTTAGAAATATTTAGTAACAACAACAACAAAAAAGGTAAACCAGGCGGGTGTGTGGCTCACGCCTGTAATCCCAACACTTTGGGAGGCCAAGGCAGGCAGATCACCTGAGGTCAGAAATTCGAGACCAGCCTGGCAAACATGGTGAAACCCCGTATCTACTAAAAATACAAAAATTAGCCAGGCATGGCAGTGCACACCTGTAGTCCCTGCTACTCAGAAGGCTGAGGCAGAAGAATTGTTGGAACCCGGGAGGCAGAGGTTGCAGTGAGCCAAGATTGCGCCACTGCATTTTAGCCTGGGTGACAGAGTAAGACTCCAACTCAAAAAAAAAAAAAAAAAAAAAAACACAACTAAACCAGTCGTGAAATCCCCAGACCACAGGAAGAGAAGCCAATGCAGGATCCAGGGAGGGGGAAGCTATAACATTAGCAGGAAAGACTAAGTAGTGACCTAAAAATAAGAGCGAAGAAGGCTTCCAAAGAGGAAGAGTGAAATGAATTAAAGGCAGCAGATGTCAACTAAAGTAAGGACTGGGAAGGACCTGTACGACCTATAAGGACCCAGCCTGCTGATGCCTCAGTCTCAGACTTTGGCCTCCTGAACTGAGAGGCAATAAACTCTTGTTGTTTAGGCCGCTCTGTTTGTGATACTTTATTACAGCAGCTCTACCAGGTTAGGTATTGACAATAGTAACTACATAGAGCATATTACAGATGCATCAGGCACATTTGTAATTGGCTTGTTTGTCATGTGGAATTTGGAACCAGGATCACTGAGAGTCACCTGAGTGCCTACGCCTGGGCCTCTTCGGTTCCATCTGCTTTGCCTGGAGGGCTCTTCCGGCTCCTTCACAGCCCATCCCACGCTTCACTGAGCACCTGCTCCAATGTCACCCGCTCGGAGAGGCACTCGCCAAACGTGAGCAGAGAAGCACCCCTCGCCGTCACTCCAGTTTTTCTTATAGCTCTTATACACAGGGTATATTGTTTAGCATGTCTATTATCTGTTATCACTTCCCTAAAAGAACGGTTGTGAAAACAGGATTTTGGTCTGTTTTACTCACTGCTGCTGTCAGTGCCCACCACAGAGCCCCCAGAGGGCCTGCAAAATGAAGGGACAAAATCATGTCTGTTGAACAAACTTAGAGAAGCAGAAGTCAAATTGCCAAGGAAGAGTAATATTCTAAGGCGATTTGCTAAGGAAGGGTAATACCCTAAGGCGAGGAAATGAAGGCACTGCAGGAAGACTTCATAGAAAGAGATATGGTCACATCTGAGGATTGGCTGATGGGAGAGGTCCAAGGAAGTATCAGAGCTTTGTGAACAGAGGTTGGTTGTTAATTATGGATTAGTGGATTACTCCTCTGGGAAGACCTTTCCTGCCAAATTTTGTCTTGAATGCTGATCTGGCTGGTATATATATTAATAATGTGAATGAATGAAGACCTATCCAATTTGCTTATTGTATTTGTAGATATTATTGTCAGAATGAAGATTCAAAACTGCCTAGTCAATGGGTCAAAAGACAGGTAAGATGAGGTTTAGCAAAGCTAAATTGGAGGTCCCACCCTTAAGCTGAGAGCCAGATGAAGAAGCCCTGTAGAGAGCCCATTAGCAACATCTCCTAAGGCAATGCACTGGGAATTAAGGCAGTGGCTTGGGAGGTCACAGACGTTTGTCTACACTGAGTTCCACTACCTTCTCTCTGAGTGTCCTTGGACAAAGTTATGAGGCTCCCTGAATTTTATTTTCTCCTCTTTAAATTGGAGACACAGATACCCTACCCTATAGCATCTTTCTGAAGCCAACTGAGAAAATCCATGTAAGAACATGAAAGAGCAGGTGATACAGGGAAAGTGATACAGGAAAGTGGTACAGGGAAAGTGCATGATTATTAGTGGGTATTCCCTACTACTGTTTACTGCAGAATTCCAACATGAATCAAAAGGCTTATGTAACTGCCAAAAAAAACAAGGAAATCAGAGATTCCACCAGTGAAACCATAGTTCTCTGCAACAGGAGGTAAAACATCCACCATGCATCATCAGGTCTGGGCACCACATTTCAAAGACAGACACTAACAAACCAGCCTGTGTACCTGGGAGAGCATGGCTACATAGGTGAAGGTGCTGAGCCATGACACTGTTGAGGATATAGAGGCTGCAGTGTAAGAGTCCTCTCCTAGTGTAGAGGCTGCAGGGTGAGAGCTCTTTCCTAGTGTAGAGGCTGCATGCACTATGCGATAACTTGCATGCTTGCAAGCATGCACACATAAAATGGGTGACTATTCATGTGAGTGTCTTGGAAGCAAGTTTTTCCCTCAACAGGCAATTGGGCTGCACCATCTCTAAGGTTTCTTCCAACACTAAGAAACTCTAGTTCTATAATCATAAATTAGCATAAATTATCTTATTAGCAGCAGTATACATTATATGCCTCCAGTCCTTCAAAGCATTTCTGATGTTTTTACCTCCTTACTCTACCTTCAGCTCTGCCTGACCAAAGTAACCCCCATCCACATTTTCCAAATAATTCACCTCTGAAAAGAAGTTACTTTTCTGGTAAGACACCCATGAAGACTTACCCCAGTTTCTGCAGGTTACACTGTGGATTCTTGGCTTTTTCACATAAAATTGCGACTCCTGAGTCTCCCAAGGCATTCTCCCCCACATAGAGTCTGGTCAGGGAATGGCTGGTGCTCAATACTGATGCAAGATCCTGACAACATGCTGATGTGAGGCAGCAGCTGACCAACCTTCCATAGAGATGGCAGAATGTCAGTCATGTCTCTCACCCACGCTCCACCATGGACAAGGAAGCACCCGTACCTGCCACTGCCTCTACTCCAGTTTACACATGGAAAGGGAGTGGACACAAGCTCTATGTACACTTCTGATTTCCTTTTCCATTTGGTGGAATAACAAGTAAGCATTCTCCAAGCTCCCACCAATACTACATCTTCCCAGCTCCCTACATTCAGCTTTATTGTGGTAAAATACGTGTAAAATAAAATTTACCATTTTAACCATTTTTAAGTGCACAATTAATGGCCTTAAGCACTTCACATTGTTGTGCAACCATCACCACCACCATCTCCAGAACTCCTTTCATCTTGCAGAACTGAAACTCCATAACCATTAAACAATGTCTTCCCACTCTCCGCCCTCCCATTGCCTGCAACCACGTTTCTTCCTGTCTCTATGAATCTGTCTGTTCTAGACACCTCCTATAAGGACAATCAGAGTATTTGCCCTTTCGAGTCTAGCTTATCTTACTTAGCATAATGTCCCCGAGGCTCATCCATGTTGTAGTGTGTACTAGAATTCTTTTTAAAGCTGAATGTACATATATAGCACTTTTCAACACCCTTCATCCGTTGAAGGACGTTTGGTTATTTCCACCTTTTGGCTATTTCTAATAGTGTTGCTATGGACATAGATGTACAAATAACATGTTTGAGTTCCTGCCTTCTGTTTTTTTTAATGCTTCCTCTGTCACCCAGGCGGGAGTACAGTGACGGGATCTTGACTCACTGCAACCCCCGCCTCCCAGGTTCAAAAGATTCTCTTGCCTCCACCCCGAGTAACTGGGATTACAGGCATGCACCACCATGCCTGGCTAATTTTTGTATTTTTAGTAGAGACAAGGTTTTACTATGATGGCCAGGCTAGTCTCGAACTCCCGACCTCCAGTGATCCACCTGCCTCAGCCTCCCAAAATGCTGGGATTACAGGTGTGAGCCACCGCTCCTGGCTGAGTTCCTGCTTTGAACTCTTTTGCAGATATACCCAGCAGTGGAAATGCTGGCTCCAGTAGTAATTCTGTATTTATTTTTTAGGAATTGCTGTGCTGTTTTCCATAGTGGCTGCATCATTTACATTCCCACCAGCAACACACAATGGCTTCCATTTCTCCGCACCCACACCAATACTTGTTGTTTTCTAGTTTTCTTGCTTTTGTTTGATAATAGCCATCCTAATGGGTGAGAAATGGCCCTTCCATTTTTAAGTGGTTTTTTCTCTCCTTCAAAATGCAAGTCTCCCAGAAGCACTCAGGGAAGGGCTGCATACAACATCGAGGGTCTGCATTGCTTTAGCACCATTTTTCTTATACAATATGAGGACCCAGGGCTTGTCATGAAGTTCTAAAACTCCTCTAAAGCAATGCATTACACTGATTTTTTCTTTTTGTCAGCTAGGCAGTAGGCACCCTAAAGGCAGACATCTTCTTTTTGTTATTATTTATGCTCCTTGTCAGGGTTGAGTGTGTGGCTTTCCCCACGACAAACACTCACTGACCGCAATGCTAGACACCCCAAGACAAGCACACGCAGTCACCCGAGCCGCCAAGGCCATTCTCACTCAAACCCCAGCCCACCGGGCCTCACTGAAGCCAGAGTGCGCAGCACGCCTCGCTGGCAGAACTTCCTTAGGGGAACGGGCTCGACTCACCAGAGCTTCTTCAGATTGCACAACAGGTGCTTCAGTCCCACACACAGAAGTCTGATTCCGAAGTCACCGAGGGCGTTGTCACTCAGGTCCAGCTCCACCAGCTTCTGGTTGCTGCTGAGGACCAAGGAGATGTCGAAGCAGCACTCATGCGAGAGGCCACAGCGCCCCAACCTTCATGCCAAGAACAGAGGCAGAAAGCATCAGAACACACCTGACCAGAGAGCTCCAGAACAGAGGAAGCATCAGGACACACCTGATCAGGAAGCTCCGGAATAGAGAAAGCATCAGAACACATCTGATCAGAGAGCTCCGGAATACAGAAAGCATCAGAACACACCTGACCAGAGAGCTCCGGAATAGAGAAAGCATCAGAACACATCTGACCAGAGAGCTCCAGAATAGAGAAAGCATCAGGACACACCTGACAAGAGAGCTCTGGAATAGAGAAAGCATCAGGACACACCTGACCAGAGAGCTCTGGAATAGAGAATGCATCAGGACACACCTGACCAGAGAGCTCCGGAATAGAGAAAGCATCAGGACACACCTGACCAGAGAGCTCCGGAATAGAGAAAGCATCAGGACACACCTGACCAGAGAGCTCTGGAATAGAGAAAGCATCAGGACACACCTGACCAGAGAGCTCTGGAATAGAGAAAGCATCAGAATACACCTGACCAGAGAGCTCCGGAATACAGCACAAGGCACATTGGGAGGTCAGCCCCCAGTCTCCCCAGTCACAGCAGAGGGATCACCTGTCAGTGAACTCCCGGCCGTAAACAGTGCCGGGTGCATTGAGATCACCCCCCAGACATGTGAATGGTGCGCTCCTGGTTTGTAAGTGAAGCGGGCGGTGTGGGCCTGTGCACCCACCTCCTTCCCTCGTGTTCCTAACCATTGACGTGCCCGCAGTCGGCACTGCCCTCGCCAGTGCTGCACTCAGCTATTTCTTGTCTTCACCAACATTGTCACCCCATTGTGTTTGACGATTTCATCCCAGCCCTCCATCTATATTGAAAGGAAAAGCAGCTCTGATTCTTTTTCTTTTCTTTTCTTTTCTT
Source organism: Homo sapiens (assembly GCF_000001405.40). NCBI lineage: Eukaryota > Metazoa > Chordata > Mammalia > Primates > Hominidae > Homo > Homo sapiens. The sequence goes on along the minus strand of NW_025791757.1, from coordinate 199,655 downwards.
TTTTTAAAGACAGGGTCTCACTTTGTTGCACAGGCTGGAGTGCACTGGCGAGATCATAGCTCACTGCCACCTCGAACTCCTGGGCTCAAGGGATCCACCTGCCTCAGCCTCCCAAGTGGCTGCAAATACAGGCATGTGCTACCATGCTTAGCCATTTTATTTTATTTATATTTTATTTTTATTATTATTATTATCTTCTAAAGACAAGGTCTCACCAGCTTGCTCAGGCTGGTTTTGAACTCCTGGGCTCAGGTGATCTGCCCACCTCAGCCTCTCAAAGTGCTGGGATTCCACATCCCGCTGCAGCTCTGATTCTTGATTAGTTTCCCCGTCACACACATGCACACAAACACACACGCACATCACTACCACCGTCACCACCACCACCAGCAACAAAAACTATACTTTATCCCTGTCATGGGGGCAAGAACAACATTCTAGCTTCTTTCCAGGGCAATAGTTCATAGGTCCTGGAGCCTGTTAGACCACCTTCCTTTCTGTCCCTATCCTTACACCAACTTCAAGCAAATGGACAAATGGATCTCTACTTCTCTGCGAAGCATCTCACTGTCCCCTACCCTTCCCTGTTTGTGTCTGCCTCTCCAGAATCATACAGGGGCAATGGCAGTGGGGAGAGAATTTGGGCATGAAGTTGGAGAAATAAGGTTAAATGTCCCAAACAACCAGTCTCCATGGCACTACGATTTGAAATTTACCAAAAGAGCAAAGATGAAGAGTGTGATCTATATACATAATGGAATACTGCTCAGCCATAGAAAAGAATGAAGTCACATCTTTGAAGCCACACAGATGGAACTGGAGGCCATTACCTTAAGTGAAACAACTCAGAAACAGAGTCAAATACCACACGTTCTCACTTACAAGTGGGAGCTAAACAAAGGGTAACATCCATAGAGCATGGAATGATAGACACTAGAGCCTCAGAAGGGTGGGAGGGTGGGAGCCAGGTGAGGGCTGGAAAATTATTTATTGGGTACAATGTTCACTATTTGGGTAAGAGTTACACTAAGGCCGGGCACGGTGGCTCACGCCTGTAATCCCAGCACTTTGGGAGGCCGAGGCGGGTGGATCACGAGGTCAGGAGTTTGAGACCAGCCTAGCCAATACGGTGAAACCTTGTCCCTACTAAAAATACAAAAATCAGCTGGGCGTGGTGGCCCATGCCTGTAATCCCAACTACTCGAAGAATTGCTTGAACCCAGGAGGTGGATGTTGCAGTGAGCCGAGATCACTCCACTGTACTCCAGCCTGGGCAACACGGCGAGAGTCCATCTCAAAAAAAAAGGGGTAGTTACAGTAAAAGCCCAGACACTACCACTGTGCAGTAACATATCCATGAAACAAAGCTGCTCTTGCGCCCCCTACATCTACAAAAATAAATACATAAAGTAAAAAATAAAGAGCAGAGCAGACAGAAAGCATTTAAGCCACCGAACAGCACAATCGAATCAGAATTTTCTAAAGGACCATCTTACTTTTGTGCAGAGAATGGTCGGGTGAGGGAAAAAGGCAGACACAGGGAGACCAAAGAGCCAACATTCATTCAGTGCGTGCTTTTGACCACTGATGGGTACTAAGATGTCTGTCCAGGCGTGGCAAAGATGACAGCAAGACAAACAAACGCAAACCCCATCCCCGGGGAGCTGATGGTCTAGGAGGTCACTGCGTGTCCAGGCAAGTGGTGACAGTTGCTGGACCTGGGCTGGTGGGGTGAGGACGAGGAAAAGTGGAAAACAGCTCGGGTAGGAGGAAAAATTGATAAGACTGGTGACAAGGTGAGTGTGTTGAGCCGGAGAGGGAGGTAGCAAAATGTCCTAGAGTGGCGGACTTTAACACTTGCTGTGCAGCTCCTCAAAAATGCAGACGCCTGCATGCGTCCACAGAGCAGGGAATGAAACAGAGCTAGTGAGGCGGCCCAGGCACCAGCGCGGTGGGGCGTGTGAATCTGATTCATGGTGTGGGAGAAAGCAAGCACATTTTTTATTATTATTATTATTATTATTATTTTGAAATGGAATCTCGCTCTGTCACCCAGGCTGGAGTGCAATGGCACGATCTCGGCTCACTGCCATCTCCGCCTCCCGGGTACACACAGTTCTCCTGCCTCAGCCTCCCGAGTAGCTGGGACTACAGGTGTGAGCAAGCACATTATTAATAAAGTCACAGGAGATTCCCTGTGACATTTCAACCCATACAAAGCATTCTGACCAGGCTGGGCAACGTGATGAGACCACATCTCTACAAAAAAAATACAAAAATTAGCCAGCATGGTGGTGCATGCCTGTAGTCCCAGCTACTCGGGGGAGCTGAGGTGGGAGGATTGCTTGAGCCTGGGAGGTCGAGGCTGCAGTAAGCTGTGATCACACACTCCAGCCTGGGTGACAGAGAGAGGTCCTGTCTCAAAGAAAAAAAAAAAAAGTATTTTCATAGTTTTTAGGTGAGGTTGCCATTGTTGTAAATGGCAAATTCTCCAACTCTCATCTATGAACATGGCCCATGAGGAAATGGAATATATCGAGCATCATGGTTGTTTCAAGAAATGACTTTTTTTTTAGTTCCTCATTCATTCTTCCCCACACAAAACTTCCCCAGCTGGCCTCCAACCCATTCTACCTTCTCACTTGTTCTGGGCTGAACTGTGCCCCCCCAAAAATTTACATGTTGAAGCCCTAATCCTCAAGACCTCATAATGTGGCTGTTTTGGGAAATGGGGTCTTTAAAGGAGTGACTAGATTAACATTAGGTCTTGTGTAGTCATGCCTGACTGTGCCTAATCCATCAGGACTGCTGTCCCTGTAAGAAGAGGAGACTAGGCCACTCTTCCCCCCAAGGCAAGATGGCATCAGTACACAGGGAGAAGGGGGCATCTACAAACCAAGGAGGGCGGCCTCAGAAGAAACCAACCCTGCTGACACCTTGATCTTAGACTTTCGGCCTCAGAACTGCAAGAAAATGAATTTTTGTTGTTGAAGCCATTCAGTCTGTGGCACTTTGTTACAGCAGAAACCACACCACCGGCCGGGTGCGGTGGCTCATGCCTGTAATCCCAGCATTTTGGGAGGCCGAGGCGGGCGGATCACCTGAGGTCAGGACTTCGAGACTAGCCTGGACAACATGATGAAACCCCATCTCTACTAAAAATACAAAAAATTAGCTGGGTATGGTGGTGGGTGCCTGTAATCCCAGCTACTCAGGAGGCTGAGGCAGGAGAATCACTTGAACCCAGGAGGCAGAGATTGCAGTGAGCCGAGGTCACGGCATTGCACTCCAGCCTGGGCAATAAGAGCAAAACTCTGCCTCAAAAAAAGAAAAAAAGAAAAAGAAAAGAAAGAAACCACACCAGCAACCTGGTCCTGAAGATCTTTCTCCAGTCTGTTTCTCTCTCTCTCTCTCATATGAACTTGCACTCACACAGATCACATGCACGGGGACTCACCACAATCTCCGAATGTTACAGCCAGGATGCTGGAGCGTTTCACACAACACTCTCATCCCTGGGTCCCCCAGAGAATTGTCACTGAGGTCCAATTCAGTTAGACTCTGGCTGGTGCTCAGAACTGAAAAGAGGCCCCGGCAAAAACTGGAAGTGAGGTGGCTGTTCACCAATCTAGGAATTAGAAGGAAGACAGACAGAAAAGAAATCAGCCTCGAATAATAACTAACTGGAGCTGGGGGCCGGGGTGCCTGGCACCAGTTCAGAGAAATGCCTTCCGGGGATTAAGAAATGGGTCACGAAACCAAAAATTGTTCCCAGAGAAATGAAGAGGGCTGGATGAGCCTTGGTAAAAGCAGTTCTGCCTCCTCTCGGACGGAGAGCATGAGCCTGTGACTGTGGCGGACTGTGGCACCCTACAGCCTGCTCCCCAGTGTCCTCCTCTCGCCCTTACCAGTCCACTGTCCCAACATGGCCCTGAACGTTCTGTGCTGGGTGATCAGAGGGCAGTCCTCACTCCTGGCTACACAACAGCATCAGGAGTGCTCACAAAAATCCTCAGGCCAGGCTGGGCATGGTGGCTCACACCTGTAATCCCAGCACTTTGGGAGGCCGAGGCGGGCAGATCACCTGAGGTCAGGAGTTCAAGATCAGCCTGGCCAACATGGTGAAACCCTCTCTCTACTAAAAATACAAAAATTAATTGGGTGTGGTGGCACGAGCCTGTCATCCCAGCTATTAGGGAGGCTGAGGCAGGAGAATCACTTGAACCTGGGAGGTGGAAGTTGCAGTGAGCCAAGATCATGCCACAGCACTCCAGCCTGGGCAACAGAGCAAGACTTCATCTCAAAAAAAAAAAAAAGAAAAAGAAAATCGCAAGCCCAGGCCACATCCATGGAAATAAAATCAGAAGCTCTGAGGTGGAACTAGATGAATTTTTTAAATTTTTTTTCAGATGAAACCCAAGCTGGAATGCAGTGCCATGATCATAGCTCACTGCAGCCTCAAACTCCTGGGCTCAAGCAATCCTCTTGCCTCAGCCTCCCGAGTAGCTGAGGTTACAGGCACGAGTCACTGTGTCCAGCTATATGGATCTTTTTTATTTAAAAAAAGCCAGGTGGCTCCAACATGCAGTCACATTTTTGCTTTTGTTTTTCTGTAGAGAGGTGCTCTCACTTTGCTGCTCAGGTAGGACTTGAATTCCTGGCTTCAAGCAATCCCCCCATCTTGGCCTCCCAAAACCTAGGATTACAGGCAAGAGCCACTGCACCCACACATGCAGTCACCTTTGAATCACCTGTAGCTCTCATTCAAATGCAAAGTCTAGCTCTCTAGGTCTAAGATTGGGTCCACAATCCTGCATTTCTAATAGATGCTCAGGCTTCTGGTTCTCAGAAGGGACTGGAACATACAAAGCAAGCTCCTGCCCTCAGAGTAAGGCAGCTGCCATCTAGAAAGATGGGTGCTGAGCCCCCTACCAGGGCTCCAGTCAGAGTCTGTCCTCAGAGTAAGGCAGGTGCCATCTAGAGGGATGGGTGCTGAGCCCCCTACCAGGGCTCCCGTCAGAGTCTGTCCTCAGAGTAAGGCAGGTGCCATCTAGAGGGATGGGTGCTGAGCCCCCTACCAGGGTTCCAGTCAGAGTCTGTCCTGAGGAAGGAAGGTGCTATCTAGAGAAATGGGTGCTGAGCCTCCTACCGGGGCTTCAGTGAGAGTCTGTCCTCAGAGGAAGGAAGGTGCTATCTAGAGAAATGGGTGCTGAGCCCCCTGCCAGGGCTCCAATCAGAGTCTGTCCTCAGAGGAAGGAAGGTGCTATCTAGAGAAATGGTTGCTGAGCCTCCTACCGGGGCTTCAGTGAGAGTCTGTCCTCAGAGTAAGGCAGGTGCCATCTAGAGGGATGGGTGCTGAGCCCCCTGCCAGGGCTCCAATCAGAGTCTGTCCTCAGAGGAAGGAAGGTGCTATCTAGAGAAATGGGTGCTGAGCCTCCTACCGGGGCTTCAGTGAGAGTCTGTCCTCAGAGGAAGGAAGGTGCTATCTAGAGAAATGGGTGCTGAGCCCCCTGCCAGGGCTCCAATCAGAGTCTGTCCTCAGAGGAAGGAAGGTGCTATCTAGAGAAATGGGTGCTGAGCCTCCTACCGGGGCTTCAGTGAGAGTCTGTCCTCAGAGTAAGGCAGGTGCCATCTAGAGGGATGGGTGCTGAGCCCCCTACCAGGGCTCCAGTCAGAATCTGTCCTCAGAGGAAGGAAGGTGCTATCTAGAGAAATGGGTGCTGAGCCTCCTACCGGGGCTTCAGTGAGAGTGTGCAAACCTTCCTCACAGATGTGTGATCTTCATAAGGTCTCCCTGCCCTCTCCACCTTCCACCTCACTCTTAATGAGTAGTTCTGCCTACTTTTCTCTCTGTCTTACTCTTCTTCTCCCATTTCTATGGTCTGAATGTTTGTGTGCCCCAAAATCCATACGCTGAAATCCTAACCCTCAACATGACGTATCAGGCGATGGGGCCTTTGAGGTGTGGTTAAGTTATGAGGGTGGAGCCCTCAGGAGTGGGATTGCTGTCCTTAGGAAAGGGACCCCAGAGAGCTGCCTTGCCTCTTCACCATGTAAGGACACAGTGAGAAGGCACCATCGACCAGGGAACAGGCCCTCACCAAACACCAGATCTGCCAGAGCCTGGATCATGGACTTCCCAGCCTCCAGAACCGTAAGGTGAACCTTCCTTTTGCTTATAAGCCAACCAGCCTGCAGTGTTTTGTTATGGCAACCTGATGAATGAAGACAACTGTCTTTTTTCCAGTCACTCGGAACTGTTTGCTGCCGTAGAAACCGTACCCTGCTTTCCCACACCTGCCCTCTCTCTCAACACCGTAAGCCCCCAGCCTGGCTGCCCCTTTCCTTCTCTCACTCTCTCACTGCCCATCCTCCGGAAGCTGGCTGAGCGGGGACACCCACCCGTGCCCCGCTGGTGAACAGGTTCGTCCCCTTGTGCTTTGGATACTCTGCAAGTTTCCTTGTCAGAGCCCATGACCCCCTCCCCGACATCTGCACTTGTTTCCGGACTGTCCCACAGCCAGACCTCAAGTCCCTGTGACCAGGACCTGGGTCTTCACCACCACTGCGGCCCTGTGGGCAGTCAGTCCTTCATGGCCAAACCATGACTAGGAAGGTGGTCCTGGTCATGGTAATGTCAACGGATCAAGAAAGCTGAAACTCATTGTTGCCTGTGGAAGGGCCAAGCCTCCTGTTTCCCTTAATTTTGCCCCACGTCAAGTGTCTTCTATCCAGGCTAAACTCACACATCACAGGGTGGCCACCTTCCTACAACCACTGTGGGTGGTCCTTCTGCAGGAGGCACTGAACGATAAACCCAAAAGGGACTCAGAAGTCAGGTGACTCAACCACTTCATTGCACAGACTTGGCCACTAGCTTCCAACCACCCAGCAAGTGTGTGAACAGACCCGAAAACGGGGTTTTGGCAATGCCCAGTGCAGAGCAACATGGGGGCCTAGAAAGAGGGTCTCCACATTTCTGCTCTATTTCCCTTGATTTACCTTCATCATGTTTTTTTCCAAGGAAACTGTGTCTCTCTCCACTGTCACCTGCACACACTTTTTCTCAGACTGCATTCATGATTTGGCTCATACCAGTCTTCAGTGCAGAATTCCTTTAATTTCTTCTCTATGCGCCCAGGTCCCACCATTCCTTAAAGGAGGCTTAGATTGCACATTTCTAAGAAACATCCCCCCAGCCTCCAGCTCTGAGGCCCTCTGTCCCCTCGCTCCTGGGACACAGACTCTCTGGCATTGTTCTGCCCCACAGACATTGACTGACTCTTAGGCACTAGTGCTCCAAGTAGCTTACAAGAAATTTCAGTTGACAAATATTTGTAGGCAATCCTACATCCTACTTAATACCTTGTGCTAAACTGGCATTCCCCAAACATTTGTTCCTTGTTTTATTTTTTTTTTCCTCATCCCATTTATCCACCTACCATACATCAATCTTTGCTCATGAAGGAGTCTCAAACAGACAGTGGTGGCATTATGATGTAGCTGTGGCAACAGTATTTGGAAGATAGTTGAAAAGAGATGAGAGGAGGCAAGCGCCAAGAAGAAGCTGGCGAGGAAGCAGGAGGAAGCACCTGGAAGCCGAGTTTCCTTACCCATGAGAACAGGCAGCATGAGAGGAGCTTGGGAGGACACACTGCACCATATCAAGGTGTCGGCCTTCCTTTTCCTCCTCCTCTTCCTCCTTGGGCATGTTATGGAGAAACCCCAGGGACAGTGACTCCACCCGATGACAGTTCTCAATGCAAAAGGAAGAAACCATGTGGTCCATTCTGGTGGAGAGATTGATCTCAATCTTGGGGAAATAGTCCATGGCCCTTTGCACGAAGTCCTCCTCCTGCATCTCGTACAAACAGTAGAACAATTCCAGCTGGCTGGGCTGGATCTGCAGCTTTTTAGCTTTGGCTTTCACTTCAATCCATTTCAGCAGCTCCAGCCTGATTTGCTGAGAGATCTTGCAACTTAATTTCTTCTCCAAGTAGGAGGTCCTCTCCTGGTTTACCAGGCCAAAGAGGAAACGTACAACAAAAATCAAATACCCCTTTTCGAATTTGCCATAGTTTTCCAGAAGGACTGTCACGTCTCGGCTGGGAAGCTTCAAACGACTCCCTGGAACGTTCGTCCTTCCTTCCTTTTCCTCTTCCAGCAGGTAGTACATGGCGGCAAAGAACTCCTGGAAAGTCATGTGGATGAAGCTGTAGAACTTCTCGCAGTCCACTTCCTTTTGGAACAGGTTCATCCTCAGGAAAGCAGACACATCCGCCTTCTGCAGTCCATGATTCCTGAGGTCGGACTCCTCAAACAGGATTTTCTGGTTCCAGATTCCATCTGCAGCCAAAGAGCAGAGCCCCCAGAGGTGGGCGCAGAGGCCGTGCTCCTGGCTCCCTCCCCGGGGCTGCAGCAAACTGGAAAGGAAGAAGACGTACACCGCGGTGGTGGTCTTGGATGTCTGGGCAAGGCTCTTGCCACTCTCCATCTGCTGTTTCAGTCCAGTGCACACGATCCAGCAGACCAGGGGGATGAAGCACATGGTGAAGAGGACCTCGTTCTCCTGAATCAGACTGAAGGCTGCCCTGGCTTGGGCCTCATCAGAGAAGTACTTGAAGAAGTACTCTTTCCTTTTGGCCTCGGAGAAACCCAGGATCTCCACATGCCGAGGATGGTCCAGCAAGTGCTGCAGTTTCTCCAGGGCCACAGGTCTCGTGGTGATGAGCAGAGAGGCCTCGGGAAGCAGCTTCTTTCTGATGAGGCTGCTCAGGAGAATGTCTCCCCGCTCGGCCTTCTGCCAGTCAGTGCAGAGCGGTCCTATGTGCTCGTCAAAGGCACCTTGCAGCTCATCGAAGCCGTCCATGAGGAAGAGGATTCTGGAGGGTTTTCTCACGATCTTGTGGATGGGTGGGTTTGGGTCGGGGCAGCAGCTCATGATCAGGTCCCCCAGGCTCCTCTGTGTCACAAGGCTCACCTCTCGACAGTGGATATAGAACAGATAGTCAAACCTGTCTTGGTAGAGTGTCCCCGACGCCCAGTCCAACATCATCTTCCTGGCCAGGATTGTTTTCCCAATCCCTGCCGCCCCCTGGAACACCACGGTGTGCACAGGCTCAGAATGCTCATCATCGGGGTCAAACAGCAACTCCATCTTAATGGGACTCACGGGGCTCTCACACGTCTTGGTCTTGCCGATGGCCAGAAGCTCCTGCTCCCTCTCCTGCTGGCTCCGGTGCTCCTTGATGAGACGCAGTCGTGTGTAGCGTTTGTTGAGGCTCACACTCTCACCCAGACGGGCATTCCTGTCTTCAATGCACTGGAATCTGCTTCTCACGTACTTTCTGTACTTCTTACGGTAATCTACGGCAAAGACAGGAAGTTAGGGGGAAAGTATACACACATCCACCTGAGATGCGCTCTCAGCTGGGGCCTGTCATCGGAAGCGAGTGGTAACCGGAATGGAGAAATGGAAGGTGCAGCTCCTCCCCACTGGGTAGGAAAGGTGCCGAGAATCTCTGGTGTCAAGTTTTTAAGATACACAGCTGAGCAGAAGGCCCATCTCTATGTGTAGCTACCAGCCCAAAGATCATTTGAATCAATCTTATTCCTTTAAGTAATCTGCATCCTATGCCTTATCAAACTTGAAACGCTTAATCACCGCCGCTGGCTCTGGGACTGCAAGAGCCACACAAACATGAATTTGTTTCTTCAACTGACAATGGATTTCCTGAGACAGGCCTTTGCATTCCAAAGAGCAGGAACCTATAGTATGGCCAAGTTACCCAGCTGCTCAGCTTCCCAGAGCCTCCTGAACCAGGTCTTAAAACTCAACTAGAAGCACCACCCCAGTCGCTTACCTTTCTTCATTTTACAAATAGAGATTCTCGAAAGGTACTCCAGTAAACCCATCCACTCCTCTTCAATGCTGTCTTCCTGGCATATCACAGTGGGATTCGAAACACGTGCATTATCTGAACCTAAAAGGGAAAAAAAAGGTGTCAAAACCCAGAACTATTATCACAGAGGATGCAATTGAAACCTGGCCTAATATTTGGCATGAGAGAGGAGACCCCAAACATCCCCCAAATCAAAACATGGCTCTGAGTTGCAGAGGACAGGTATCCAGTCAAAAGTCTGGTTGGGAGCATTTCTGCACTCCTAGTTTCAAAACAACTTCTGCTGTCCACCTGCCAAGCATGTGTTCCCACTGTCCCCAGTCTCAGAATCTCTTCCTCAGGCCTGGAAATCAATCAGCAAACATGCGAAGCAGGCTAAGTTTCTTTTACCCTCGTTTGCTTTTGCCTGCCCCTGGCAGCCTGATTGTGAGGGCATCTCCAAGCTCTCCTATATCCCCAACACGGCTGTGGGCTAAGAAAGGTCACCCTTCCCTGACCGCAGTTCCCTGCAATCCATTTTACACACGTCTTCTATTGTCAAGTCTAGATGTCTGGTTCTTCAAGAGTGAGAACGACCAGTCTATTTCGTGCCTAATCTAGTGGTTGGGAATCCTGGCTGACTTTAGAATCACCCAGGAAGCTTTAAAAATATGGACTTCAGGACTGCACGCCCAGAGGTTCTTTTTCAGTCCCTCTGAGGTGAGGCCCAGGAACCATCACATACTAAAAGCTCCCAGGTGATTCCAACATGCATCTGTGTTGAGAATCACAAATCCAAACAGTCACTAGATAGCATATCTTAAGAAGGCATTCTATAGGAGAAATTCAGGTTAGGTAAAACAAGAGTTAGTCACTAGGGGAAATATATAAGACAGATAACTTCAGGTGGGCAGGAATCTACAAGTAACATAAATGATTTTTTTTTTTTTTTTGAGACAGGGCCTCACTCTATTGCCCAGGCTGGAGTGCAATGACACAATCATGGCTCCCTGCAGCCTCAACCTCCTGGGCTCAAGTGATCCTCCCACCTCAGCCTCCAGAACAGCTGGGACTATTGACACGTGCCACCACACCTAACTAATGTTTGCATTTTTTGTAGAGACAGGTTCTCACTATGTTGCCCAGGCTGGTCTCAAACTCCTGGGCTCAAGCAATCCTCCCATCTTGGCCTCCTGAAGTGCTGGGATTACAGGCATAAGCCACTGCGCCCAGCCCATAAAAGACCTCTGACAGCTGTCTACTTGGTAACCATATCACAAAATAAAATCCAAAAAATCTAAGCCAAAACCAAAATCTTATTCTTTTTTTTTAAGAGACAGAGTCTTGCTTTGTTTCCAAAGCTGGAGGGCAGTGGCATGGTCATAGCTCACTCCAGCCTGGAACTCCTGAGCTCAAGTGATGCACCCACTTCAGCCACCTGAGTAACTGGGACTCAGGTAGGAGCCATGACAGTAAATTAGCCAAAGTCTATTACCTAAAACCTAACCCCACCCCAGGAAACAAACAAACAAACTTCTAACCCTAGTTATAACTTTTCTGCCTCAAAATCCAGATATGGAAGCAAAGACGGTGTAGTGGTTAAGAGCCAGGCTTTGATCAGAGACATGCCCTGCTTTTTACCCCAGCTCTGGTTATGGCTAGAAATAAACCATGGGCCAGTTAGGATCTCTTCCAGGCTCACCTCATTCACTTGCAGGAGGGATAATACCAGAAGCTGTTTCATGGGTTTCTTGAATGTGCCATAAAATCCATAAAAACTGCTTAGCAAAGTACTTCTACAGTTGTGATTATGACACTTTCATTTGGGTATGTGAGTATATAAGTACTGACACAATGATAATTGCTTTATTTACTTAGAGATGAGGTCTCCCTATGTTGCTCAGGCTGGTTTTGAGCTCCTGGGCTCAAGCGATCCTCCTGCCTTAGCCTCCTGAGTAGCTGGGACTACAGGTGAGAGCCATTGCAGCAACTGGTTTCTGACCTCCCCCGGCTGCACACTGCTGTCTGTTTCCCCAGTGTCATTACACCCACACTGCTGCCCTGCCTTAACATGTGTCTCCCTATCCACTGACTCATTTGTACTCCTCCTTCCCATCACCACCAGCTCTACATCATCATCCTGCAATACCCTGCCCTTCTCTGAGCCCTACCTTTGCCTAGAACACAAGACAAAAGAAAGAACCTTATCCCCAATGTGTACATGGGGATTAAGAGAATTTCTTTTACATTCCAATTCCCAAAGTGGTGGTGAAAGGAAAGGCTTCTGCCCCAAACTCCACGGTTCTTCAAGGAGAGAGGCTGCCCTCTGGGCCATAGGAAGCAGAGGCCCAAGCCTGCTGACCACACAGCAGATACTGGACAAAACATGTGGTCTGAGAAGCTGGATGGAGAATTGGAGGCAGGTCTAGGCACTGCTGAGATTCAGATAAAGAGGGACTAATCATGGCAGGTGCCCAGGGGGTAGGTACAGTCTGCATCAGCTTTTTAAAGGAGTTAGAGAAAGCAAACAGTTTGCCTCCACCTTCTCATAGCACTACCGTGAGAGGGGAAAAGAGAAAAAACCAAGACAATACAAGAAAAAAAAATTTTTTTTTGAAACAGGGTCTTGCTCTTTAGCCCAGGCTGGAGTGCCGTGGTGCAATCTCAGCTCACTGCAACCTCCACTCCCCATGTTCAAGCAATTCTCCTACCTCAGCCTCCTGAGTAGCTGGGATTACAGGTGCCCACCACCACACCCGGCTAATTTTTTTTGTATTTTTAGTAGAGATGGGGTTTTGCCATGTTGGCCAGGCTGGTGTTGAACTCCTGACCTCAGGTGATCCACCCACCTCAGCCTCACAAAGTGCTGGAATTACAGGCATGAGCCACCATGCCCGGCCATGATTTAAAAAAAAAAAAATCATACTAACTTCTGTGCATCAAAGGACACAGTTAACCAAATGAAAAGACAACCCACAGAATAGGAGAAAATATTTGTAAATCATATATCTGATATGGGGTTAATATCTAGAATACATAAAGAACTCCTACAAGGCAACAACAAAAGCCAAACCTGGTCTGAAAATGAGAAAAGAACTTGAACAGAACTTTCTCTGAAGAAGCTCTATAAATGGCCAACAAGCAGTGAAAATGTGCTCAGCATCACTTATCATTAGGGAAACGGAAATCAAAACTACAGTGAGATACCACCTCACACTCATTAGAATGGCTACTATAAAAAAGAAAAAATAAATAAAAATAACGTGTTCTTAGGATATGGAGAAATTGGAACCCTTGTGTGCTGTTGGTGGGAAATGGTGCAGATGGTATCTAAAACAGTAGAGCAGTTCTTCAAAATATTTAACAGAATTACCGTATGATTCAGAAATTTCACTTCTGAGTATATACCCCAGAGAATTCAAAGCAGGGTCTTGAAGAGATATTTGTGCACCAACACTCATAACAGCATTAACAATAACAAAAAGGTAGAAGTAATCCAGGTGTTCATCAACAGATAACTAAACAAAATTTGGTATATGGTACCATGGAGTATTTATACAGTCTTTTTTAAAGGAAGGGAATTCCGACACATGCTACAACATAGTTGAACCCGGAGGACATTATGCTGAGTGAAATAAACTACTCATAAAGGAAAAAATGCTGTATGTTTCCACTTATATGAGGTACCCAGAGTAGTAAGATTCACAGAGATGGCAAATAGAATGGTGGTTACCAGGGCTGGGAGAATGAGGCAATGAGGAGTTATCATTCAATGGGTGAGGAGTTTCAGTTTTGCAAGATGAAAACAGTTCTGGAGACTGGTTGCACAATGTGAGTGTACCTAACACTACTGAACTGTACATTTAAAAATTATTACGGCCGGGCGCGGTGGCTCACACCTGTAATTCCAGCACTTTGCGAGGCCGAGGCGGGTGGATCACCTGAGGTCGGGAGTTTGAGACCAACCTGACCAACATGGAGAAACCCCATCTCTACTAAAAATACAAAATTAGCCGGGCGTGGAGGTGCAATGCCTGTAATCCCAGCTACTTGGGAGGCTGAGGCAGGAAAATCGCTTGAACCCGGGAGGTGGAGGTTGCAGTGAGCCAAGATCTCACCATTGCACTCCAGCCTGGGCAACAAGAGCAACTCCGTCTCAAAAAAAAATATATATATATATATATATAAAGATGGAAAATTGTACACTATGTGCACTTGGCCACAATTTTTTTTAAAAGTCTTCCTTCCACTCACCCCACTTCGGCTCATCTCTTTTTGCTTTCTCATAAAGGTCTCTCCTGTTGATCGCAGCGAAGATCCACACGGCCATGGCCCACGCCTTCTCCTCCCCATTGAAGTCGATCATTAGCGTGGCTAGATCCACATGGTCTGCCTTCTCTGTCTGACCCCTCGGGAGGGGGATGCAGCCCTTCTGGGGAGGATAGTCCTCTAAGTGCATCTTAAATTTCTTCAAGTCCACATCCTCCAGGTCCTCCAGGTACCTGGCCAGCTTGCAGCGGGTGCTTGCCATCTTCATCTGCAGCTGTTTTCAGGGTCCTTAGGCTTCGGTCCACACTAAGATACCAGGCAGTGAACACGGCACACGGATGAGTCTTTTTTAAAGTCTCCACTTTGAGAGATATAAATTATCAAAAACTCAGCAAACAGAAAGAAAAAAATGTCACATGACTGTAACAAGTCAAAATCTTTAATTTTGAAAAGTTAGCCAAGGCCGGGCACAGTGGCTCACGCCTGTAATCCCAGCACTTTGAGAGGCCAAGGCAGGCAGATCACCTGAGCTGAGGAATTCAAGACCAGCCTGGCCAACATGGCAAAACTGTGTCTCTACTAAAAGTACAAAAATGAGCCGGGTGTGGTGGCGGGCGCCTGTAATCCCAGCTACTCAGGAAGTTGAGGTAGGAGAATTGATTGAACCCGGGAAGTGGAGGCTGCAGTGAGCCAAGATCACGCCACTGCACTCCAGCCTAGGCGACACAGCAAGACTCCATCTCAAAAAAAAAAAAGTTAGCCAAATGCTTACCAGAAAGTTCTCCTGTTGGCTCGATCCAGGAGTGTGTCCTGAGCCATGGAAGAAAGGTTTCCCTATGGAGGGAAAAATATGCAAACAAATCCATAAACAGGATTGTATTACAGTTTACGGTGAACAACCACTTCACGATGCCATCTTGACCCATCAGCAAGAAAATTTTTGTCCCGTTGATTACGGGGCTATGACATTGGACAAACTCTTCACTATTCCTCAACTTCAGTTTCCTCATCTACAAAATGAGAAAGCAGAAGAGAATGTTTTCAGTTCCTCCAAACTGAAGGCTCTGGCTCTTTGCTTCTGTTTTTGTGAGGGAAGAGGGATGAGAGACAATAGAAGGAGAAGGCCAGGAGGTGAGTAAGTGTGTTGATAACAGAACAGGACGTGGCTAGGGAGAGAGGAGAGAGAACATAAAAGCTTGCAGAGGAGGGGACAGTCTTTGACTGCACTTCTATCAACCAGTGGATTGAAGTGAGATGAAGCTGGGAGTGCATAATGGAGAATAATAAAAACATACATCCCTGTAATCCCAGCACTTTGGGAGGCCGAGGTGGGCGGATCACCTGAGGTCAGGAGTTGGAGACCAGGCTCACCAAACAACAGGGAGAAATCCCGTCTCTACTAAAAATACAAAAATTAACCGGGCATGGTACCAGGCACCTGTAATCCCAGCTACTCGGGAGGCTGAGGCAGGAGAATCGCTTGAACCCAGGAGGCGGAGGTTGCGATGAGCCAAGATCACACCACTGCACTCCAGCCTGGGCAATAAGAGCAAAACTCCATCTCAAAAAATAAAATAGAATAAAATAAAATAAATAAAAACATACATCCTTTAATGTCTCCTTGCAAAATTCGCAATTGTTATCATTATAATTCACATTAATTTAGAGCTTTCCACAGGCTAGGCACTCACTGATGTTTTTCCCCATCTAACCTGCACAGAGCTCTATGAGGTGCACCTATTCCTAGCCCCATTTTATAGATGCATAAACTGAGTCTTAGGGGGACTAGGAAGCCTGCCGAGGGGTTTAGAACCAGGAAGGAACAGAGCCAGGATTTTGACCAGAGATATGAGACCATGTCTTCCATCACTTGTTTCAGTCAGACAAAGACAAAGACAACAAAATAGATGACTAAAAGACACACTTCCCCAGCATTTATCACAGGTGTATCACTGCAGCATTCACCAACATAGTCTTCCCAACTAGACTGTGAGTTCCACAAAAACTAGCAATCACCTGCTGTATCTTTAGATCTTCCATATCTCCTAGAGTCCGGATGGATGAACAAGTTGGCTTTGTTTGGAATTGTTCCCTCCTTGATCCCTTGATTATACTCTATTTGGCAAAGCACCTCAACCTAAAGCCATAAATAACACTCAAGGGAGGCAGAGAGCCTGGAAAACGGTGGAGCTCTCCAAATTGGAATTTCTGTGACTGCAGTTCAATGTCAAGATGCCTCAGACTCACTCATCTCTCCCGTCCCATCTCCATTCCTGCCTATCTACTCCTCGCCTCCTGAGCCCTGCAAACCCAGCCCTGTGCATCCTGAGGTGACTGCTCTCCAGACAGCCCTATTAGCTCCGCATACCCTCCCAGCTCCTGCCCATCCTGAGGTGACTGCTCTCCAGACAGCCCTATTAGCTCCGCATACCCTCCCAGCTCCTGCCCCATCAGTCCTTCCATCTGCATCAGGATTCTGCCTTTCTTCTGTGCTCCTTCCACCCTAACACCAGCACAAAAATCTGCTGCCCTTTGGTCTTTAAGGAGGTTTGTTTCCTTCTGTATATCCCATCCATCTTCTCCCCTGGGAGGGATACTGGGCAAATCTGCTGAAGTCGTGGGTGTAAACTATGGTTGCTGCCGCTGTCCTCCCCGCTTCCCCCCGCCACATACACACACACGAACTTGCACACGTAGAGCCCAAATAATGATAAAAGAACATTCCAGAAATGTTGTTGAAGCACAACCTTGGAGACGCCAGAAGAAATTCCTAGTGCATTAACCAGGACAAGTTCTGCCCTCTGAACACAATCTCCCCCACTGCTCTCCCGGTCCTGTCGCCCACACTGCCCCGCGGAGCTGGACTTACCCAGATGCCAGCCTCAGGAACAGCTAGAGAGGAAATGCAATGAATTTATAGCAGTCGCAGCCCCAGAAGGGGCAGGAAGGATGTGGTCTCCACTTACATCAGAGCAGAGGCAGAGAGACTAATGGTTAATCACATAGCTGGATTTTCCAAATGGGATCAACAGTGTTGTCAAAACCGTGTCTCGGTTCCATACTGGGGTTCACCTTGCTCTCCTCTGAGGCACCCCACAGAAGCAGGGTGGGAGGCCAGTATGAGATGGGGCTGGGGGTCAAATCGGCAGTGCTAAATGGATGTTGCCTCTGACACTGCCCGCTGCAACGGCTCCACTGAGAGTGAGGGAAGTGAAACTAAGGACATGCCATGCGAGTGAGTAAAGAATCCAGAGCATGACCTGACCCAGCCTTCAAACTCCAGAGTCCATGCCCTGTCCTCTCACAGCAAGATGGCTGGAAGGCAGTACAGGTTCTCTCCGACATGTTCTACTTTTAAAGCACAAATTTTACTCCCTGACTCATTGACTCACCTGTTCCACTAACACTCACGGAATGGCTGGTATGTGGCAGGCATGCACACAAAGCCTCAGCTTGAGTAGCTTGAGGAGAGACACACACAGACCTACTCTGCAGCTCATGAGACGGCCGCAGGACCACAGACCGGCAAAGGCACAAGTTCAACAGAGCTTGGTGGGTGAGAGGCACTCGCTCAGCCTCTGGGTGAGTGAAAAGGACGAGCACCCAGTTCAGTGGAGGGATGTCAGCAAATGACTGGGTCTGTCTGTGCCTCATACCTGTAAAAGGGTGACAATAATTGCCTGCTACTTCTTTAGATCTTCCAAATCTCCTAGACTCAGGATGGATGAACAAGTGGTTTTGCTTGGAATTGCCCCCTCCTTGATCCCTTCATTATACTGCATTTGACCAAGCACTACATCAACCCAAATAACGGTACCTATCCTAGAAGGCTGTCAGAAAACACTGAGTGAATGGCTAAACGTGAGGCCTTTAAAACAGAGCCTGGCACAGAGAAGCTAGAATAAGCAGTTGGTTCCGATGACTACCACCTTTCTACAGAACTGCAGAGAGAATGCTCTACAACATGAGAGAGGCATCTAGTCCTGCTTAGGGGCATGACAGCAGACCTGAGTCTCCATGAACCAGGTGAAAGGTGTCATTCGGGGCTGGAGCTGAGGCAGGAGCAGCAAAAACTTCAGGTGCTGAAGCTAGAGAGAAAGCAGACCAAATATGCTCCAAAAGAAAGGAGCTCAGCCTGGGTGCAGTGGCTCATGCCTGTAATCCCAGCACTTTGAGAGGCCAAGGCAGGCAGATCACAAGGTCAGGAGTTTGAGACCAGCCTGGCCAACATGACGAAACCCCATCTCTACTAAAAATATAAAAAAAAATAGCTGGGTGTGGTGGCGGGCACCTGTAATCCCAGCTACTCAGGAAGCTGAGGCAAGAGAATCACTTGAACCTGGGAGGTGGAGGCTGCAGTGAGCTGAGATTGTGCCACTGCACTCCAGCCTGGGTGACAAGAGCAAGACTCCATTTCAAAAAAAAAAAAAGGAGCTCATTGGCTGAACCTGGGATCTTTTTGTTTTTGTTTGTTTAGTCAAGTTAATTTAGGTATAATTCAGCCGGGCGCAGTGGCTCACGCCTGTAATCCCAGCTCTCAGGGAGGCAAGAGGCGGGAGGATAGCTTGAGCCCAGGAGTTCGAGACCTGCCTGGGCAATATAGTGAGACCCCATTCTCCAGAAAAAGGAAAAAAAAAAGACAAATTTAGGTATAATTCATATGCAGTAAAAATCCATGCCTTTATAAAAACAGACCCATAGACCAGTGGAACAGAAATAAACTCAAGTATATGCAGTCAACTAATTCTTTGACAAGGTCACCAAGAAGACACAATGGAGAAAGGACAATCTCTTCAATAAAGATGTTGGCTATAGAAGTGTGAAAAAAAAATCAAGAAAAATATAAGATTTTGAAAAATTAAGCTTTTGGTGAAACTGGATTTCCACACGCAAAAGAATAAAACTTGGCACACACAAAAACCAACTCAAAATGGATTAAAGATCTAAACATAAGATCTAAAACTGTAAAACTCCTAGAAGAAAATAGAGAAGAAGCCAGGCATGGTGGCTCATGCCTGTAATCCCAGCACTCTGGGAGGCTGAGGCAGGAGGATCACCTGAGGCCAGAAGTTCACAGTCAGCCTGGGCAACATAGTGAGACTTTGTGTCTACAAAATTAAAAAAAAAAAAATTAGCCAGGCATGGTGCTGTGCACCTGTAGCCCAGCTACTCAGGAGGCCGAGGCAAGAAGATCACTTGAGCCCAGGAATTTGAGGTTACAGTGAGCTATAATGACACTACTGCATTCCAGCCTGGGTAACAGAATGAGACCCAATCTCTAAACAGATAAAAAACTAAATATAAAAAATAGAAAACAGAGGAGAAAACTTCTTGATATTAGCCTTGGCATGGATATTTTTAATGTCTCAACAAAAGCAAAGGAACAAAAGTAAAGATAAATAAGTGGGAATACATCAAAGTAAAAAGCTCCTGTATAGCAAAAGAAACAATCAACAGAGTGAAAAGGTAGCCAACAAATTGGAAGAAAATAGTTTTAAGCCATATATCAGATAAGTAGTTAATATGCAAAATATGTAAGGAATTCACACAACTCAAAGCATAAAACAAATAATCTGATTTTTAAAATGAAGAAAGGAACTGAATAGACATTTCTCTAAAAAAGAAACAAAAATGGTCAACATGTATACAAAAAAGTGCTCAACATCACTAATCATCAGGGAAATGCAAACCAAACCCACAATGAGGTACCACCTCAAACCTGTTAGGATGGCTATTAGCAAAATGACAAGAGACAAACATTGGCTAGGGCGTGAAGAACAGGGAACCCTTGCACATTGCTGCTGGGAATGCAGATTGGTGCAGCCATTGCAGAAAACAATATGGAGGTTCCTAAAGAAATTAAAAATAGAACTACCGTATGACCCAGCAATCCTTCTTCTGAGTGTGTATCCAAAGGAAATAAAATCACCACCTCACAAAGACATCTGTGCACTCATGTTCATAGCAGCATTATTCACCATGGTCCAGATAGGCAAACAACCCAAGTGTCTATTGACAGATGAATAAATAAAGAGTTTGGGGCATATATACACAATACAATCTTAGTTAGTATTAAAAATTGAGACTCTGCTATTTGCCACAACATAGATGAACCCGGTGGACTTTACACAAAGCATAATAAGCCAGGCACAGAAAGACAAACACTACATGATCTCACTCATATGTGGAACCTTAAAAAAAAAAAAAAAAAAAGTTAGGCCAGGAGTGGTGCCTCACACCTGTAATCCCAGCACTTTGGGAGGCTGAGGTGAGTGGATCACTTGAGCCCAAGAGCTTGAGACCAGCCTGGGCAAGATAGTGAGGCTTCACCTCTACCAAAAAAATGAAAAAAAGAAAAGAAAGGAGGGAGGGAGGGAAGGAAGCCAGGTGCAGTGGTGTGCACATGTCACCCCAGCTACTTGAGAGGCTGGGAGGCTGAGGTGGGAGGATTGCTTGAGTCTGGGAGGTCGAGGCTGCAGTGAGCCGAGATCACACCACTGCACTCCAGCCTGAGTGACAGACCGAGATCCTGTCTCAAAAAAAAATAGTTGAATATATAGAAACAGAGAGTTACCGGGGTAGAGGAAATAAAATGACGGTCAAAGGGTACGAAATTTCGGTTATGTAGGATAAATAAGCCGAGAGATCTAACAAACAGTGTGGGAACGATAGTTAAAAATATTATAAACCTGAAATTTGCTAAGAGAGATTTTAGATGTTTTTACCACCCACAAGAAAGATTATTATGTGAGATGGTGGCTATGTTAACTCATGTTAATTTGCTTGACTGCAGCAATCATTTCACTATGTATATCAAACTGCCATGTTATACACCTGAAATATGTACAATAAAATAAATATTCGCACCTTTTTCATGCACAGGCCTGTGAGTGCTCACAAGCATATAGCTACCCACCACCACAGCCCACACAGAGCACCTGCATCAGCTGCACATGCTCCCTGTGCAGCCTCTGTCCCCACCCACTGTGCTGCCACATAGTCAGCCTCTGTCCCCACCCGCAGCCCCACTTCTTCCACCTGCTAAAGCATTACCTTTTCCAGAGCATCACATAAACAGTGTGCAGCCTTTGGTGAGCGAGTCCGCTCACTTCATATGATGCCTGTGAGATTCAGATCAGTAGCTTATTCCTTTTTACTGCAGTTAAGTATTTCATGGGTTGGATAGGCCACAATTTGGTTTTCTATTCCCTAGGCAAAGGACAGTTGGGCTGTTTCCGTTTTTGGCAATCGTCAATTATGCCACTGTCACTCATGCAGCTGGCGAACTGGCTGCAATTGTGTAAGGACATCAGTCACTTGGGGCAGTGGGAAGTTCACGAGAAGCAGATGAGGTTTCCAGCCTTCGCTGCTTCACTCTCCGCTGAATGCTGCGACCACTCCTGTGGTCCGACTCCTTGCCTGCGACCCTCACCTCAGCTTTCCTGTGAGGCTCAAATAAAACAAGACCTGATCTATAATACATTATTGTAGAGAGGAAAAAATAAATAAAATAATACCTGACAGCAAAATGTAAACTGTACAGTAGTATTCAAATTGTAGGTCAGGCCAGTTTCAGTGGCTCACACCTGTAATCCCAACGCTTTGGGAGGTTTGAGGCAGGAGGATCACTTGAAGCCAGGAGGCCAAGAGCAGCCTGGGCAACATAGTGAGACCCCATCTCCACAAAAAATTAAAAAATAGACGGATGTGGTGGTGCATGCCTGTAGTACCAGCTACTCAGGACGCTGAGGTGGGAGGATCGCTTGAGCCCAGGAAATTGAGGCTGCAGTGAGCTAGGACTGTGCCACTGCACTCCAGCCTGGGTGACAGAGTGAGACCCTATATTAAAAAAATGCAGATTATGAATCTTGAAAAGATACTCTAATCATACATAAAAACTTGTCAATGAAAGACCACCATACTCTGTGTGTTATTATGCATTCTGAAAAAATTTTGTTTCAGATTTGGGAATATCAAAATCAACACAAATAAATAAGTCAACTCACAAAAGTAAAACGCGGTGATTTTCCATACATCATTCATGCAAAAAAAAATAATAATAATTTACTCTTGTACATTTAAGAAAAATAATTGCTTCCATTAAATACCCAAAGCTCACTTAAGTGGACTGGAACTCACAGCACTGAATTCCAAACTAAAATTGCATGAATGATTTCAAGTTGAAATCACCTGTGGTCCCCAGCTACTGGGGAGGCTGAGGTGGGAGGATCTTCTGAACCCAGGAAGTCAAGGCTTGCAGTGAACTGAGATTGTGTCACTGCACTTCAGCCTGGGTGACAGAGCCAAATCCTGTCTCCAAATAAATAAATAAATAAAAATACGCAAATAAATAAAAATTTAAAAAGAACTTAATCCCCCAATACAATAGTATTCAGGGGTGTGGTGTTTGTGGGGTGATTGAGTTTGTGGGGTGATGAATGGGATTCACACACTTGTAAAAGGGCTCCGGGTTCAAGGGGGTGCTCTCTCTTGCCTATCTGCCATGGGCCATGTGAGGACATGGCAACAAGGCACCATCTTGGAAGCAGAGAGCACTTCTCACCGGGCACCAAGGCCAGCGCCTTGATCCTGGACCTCACGGCCTCCAGAGCTCTAAGAAATAAATTTCTGCTCCTTAGAAATTACCCAGTCTCAGGTGTTTTGTTAGTACAAACGGACTAAGACACAAGCCCAAGTGGGATGATCTCAGGGGTGCTCAGCAAAGGCAGAGATCAGCCCAGAAGCCAGACATCCTCCCCTACTAGAGAGAACAGAAGAGATCGGAGGTGGGGAGTGCCAAAGTATCTGAGGTTACCAAGAAACAGACTGCATTTCAAACTGAAAGTGACTGGCTGATATTAAAAATGGCAATTTCACTTTCTCTCACCAGAAAAAATGTGACTAGCAGGAAGGGAAAAGGTATGAACAAAGACAAATTGGGTTTCAGAAAGTACAGTCATAACATTAGCGAGACTTTGTGAGTTCTTGTGAGGAGACGTGACCTTCCGTTGCTGCTGCTGCTCTTCCCTCTTTCCAGGGGTGACTGCTCCTCTGGGGCCTGGAGTGCTGGCGCTGAGTCAGCTTCCCCAGCTGAGGTGGGTTTTCCTAATGTGTCTATGACCCAAGAGTCCCAGGGGCCCCCGATTCCTCGACCTCTACACTTTCTGAGACACAGACTAAAAAGTGGATGGCCATCAAGAAAAAAGCTGTCAGTTCTTACTTTACGAAAGCCAAGTCCTTCATATAAGCATGCTATGTAATATGTTGGAATTGGCTTCTTCATCCCATTTATCTTCTCCTTTTCCTGTGTTCATAATCTGATCTCTAGAACCCACCAAGAGTGTTAGAGCCAGAGCCCCTTGTCTTGGTTCTTTGCCTCATCTACCTTTAAGGAATGCCTCCCAGTGCTCTCCAATATCTCTGAAAGACACATGCCAAGTTAAAGCAAATCGAGAGGACTTTATTGCAAACTCACAAAGAGAAGGAAAACAGGTAAGTATTCTTCATTACAAAAGTAATAGATAGTATGATTTTGTTTTTTGTTCATTTGTTTGTTTGTTTACTTGAGACGGAGTCCACTCTATTGCCCATGCTGGAGTGCAGTGGCGCAATCTCGGCTCACTGTAATTTCTGCCTCCCGCATTCAAGCAATTCTCCTGCCTCAGCCTCCCGAGTAGCTGGGACTACAGGCACCCACCACCACGCCCGGCTAATTTTTGTATTTTTAGTAGAGATGGGGTTTCACCATATTGGTCAGGCTGGTCTCCAACTCCTGACCTCAGGTGATCCACGCACCTCGGCCTCCCAAAGTGCTGGGATTACAGGCGCGAGCCACCACGCCCAGCCAATAGTATGATTTTTGTGAGGCATACATGGCTTGACTAAAAACCAGTGACTGAGTCACTTATATTTTATTTCATTGCTGAAATATAAACAGTTTCATATATGAGGGAATAAATTCAATCCCACCTACATTTTTTTCTTTTTCACAATTTTCGGTGCTTTTAAAAAATATTGTCTTCTTTTGAATACATTTTTAGTTGATTCATCTTTATTGTGAGGTATAGACACAAAATCTCAGTCTCACAGTATACTTACATTTCTAAGTTTGTTGCCAAGATGTAAAATCAGGGCTTTTACATAAACTAGTCAGATTTCAGGTTTCTGTTTAAAACTTAGAATTCTAGAACTAAGTCAACCACCATCCCTTCAACAAACGTGGCACCAGGAGCTTGTGCAGGCTGCCCCCACTGAGCATGGACTCAGGTTTTCCACAGTCCTCACCACTCCCTACTACCTCCTACTTTCCGTCCACACCTCTCATTTATATCGCCCACCGGAAACTCGAGGAATTGGAATTCACAGCACCTGACTTTCAACCTTGCCTTTAAACAAATAAATAATCAAAAAATAAACAATCAAGTTCCTTCATCAGAGATAAGGGACATTTGAGAGCAGTCAGTTATCTGCAGGAAAAAAAAAAAAAAACAAAAACGGTGATTTTAGTGCTCCTTGTCCATAACAGGTGGCTATGCCCAAGAGCCAAAAGGTAGAGACAACCCCAGTCTCCCGCAACAGATGAATGGAAAAACAACAAGGGCTATACACACACCACGGAATAGTCTAAAGAGAAAGGAAATTCTGACACACACTGCAACATGGACAAACCCTGAGGACATTTGCTGAGTGCGACAGGCCAGTCACCAAGGGACACACACTGTACGATTCTATGTATAGGAAGTTTCTACAGTAACCAAATTCACAGAAACAAAAAATAGAACCAGGGACAAAAAAAAACAGAGGGTGGGGGGATTGGGGAGAGAGGAATGGGGAATGAGTGCTTCATGAGTACAGAGTTTCACTTTTGCAAGATGAAAGCATTCTGGAGATTGGTTGTGCAACAATATGATTATTAAAAGTAAGAAACTGTATTTCGCTTTACCAGATATACCAATATAAATAATAAATGGACTGAATTCTTGAAATATATTTATAAGCATAGAGAAAAGAATGGAAAATACATACCACTTTTGCCTCCGAGGTCACCCTGAAAAGAGGTGACTGAGTTGGGAGAAGAAGTTTCTGCTTCACACAATTCTGTATCATCTGTTTTTTGCAAATAACATCAGCAATTTGTTAAAAAGTTACAGAAAAAGCTAAAAAGAGTTCCTGATAAAGAGGGCAGGGGGAAAGCTCTAGCCCCCGTGTCATTTCTAAAATCAACTACGAACAACAAGAAAGAGAAACAGAAAAGGAATCTCCACTTCTATGAAGACACCACTCAGTGGGGGACTGACCCCCAGGTGCTTGGCACCTGGGACTGGGAAGAGGAGGGCCAGGATGAGGGAGACCCTCTGTAGACCTTGGGGGTGGCAAAGAGAATCAAGGTTTTCCCAGGGCTGAAGCACAAACTAGTGGAGTCATCAACCCTGAGCCCCGCTCTCTTTGGAACCACAAGGTCAAGTCCACGGGCAAACCCCAAAACCTCTTTGGACACTGTGAGCAACAGCAGGAAGTGGGGAGGAAACACGGACGAGCATCTGCCAGAGCAAATGGTTGTCTGTTCCCAGTGTGGGAGAAACTGCAGGTCAAGACCAGCCTCAGCCATGCTGACACCAGTCACTGAGAAGTGCAAGTGAAATCACCCCAAATCTGTGACATGTAGGTTTTGGTGTGAGTCAAGGAGACTTCCTGTTAGTCTGGAGAGGACCACACCCCACAAAGAGGAGCAGAGAGCACAGGATGAAAGCAGGAGGCAGGACTCACGCTGCCTGCCCTGCCAGCACGTCCCCAGGCCTCGGCCTGGCACTGTTCCAGTGCCCGAACCTCGCTGTCACTCTGATGACTGGTGACGCGGATACATCCTTTATCAGAACAAGGACTTCGAGTGCATGAAATAAAACACAGAGATGACAAAGAGAATGGTAAAACATTTTTAAAGTTTGTAATATTTATGCACCAATTAATCATATCTAGCAGCGGGCCTAATAACTGGCATAATTTGAAAGTAGTGGTGACAGCAACTGACGTTTCAGCAAAACTGTAACAATATGAAGGTATCTAATTTCTAATGTGAAAAATGTATAGGACCTACTGATACTAATGGGCTGTGTCACTCACATTCATTAGAGAAAATAAAGAAGAGAACATTCTTCCCATCCAAACTCACAGATCTCCCCTGAATGATATCCACAGACTCCTTGGGGATATTTGCTAGGCCTTCTCCCAACTACTCTCCAAAACAGCGCTACTCCAGGAAAAATTCCATTATTTCAAGAACAGTGACCAATTTTTTTAAAAGAACCATCACGGAAAATATTAAAGATAATGTCAGAGAAGAAAACAAAAAGAGGAAAGGCATATGGCAGACAGAAAGATAATGGAGAACACTGAGTGATGACGGTATACCACAAAGCAGGCACAATAACGGCTCCCAAAGATGCCCATAGCCTAACCCCTGTAAACCATAAGTACTTGATGTGACGTGGCACTCTCATGATGTGACGTGGTGCTCTCATGATGTAGCGTGGTGCTCTCATGATGTGACATGGTGCTCTCATGACGTGACATGGCGCTCTCATGATGTGACGTGGCGCTCTCATGATGTGACGTGGCGCTCTCATGATGTGACATGGCGCTCTCATGACGTGACGCAGCGCTCTCATGACGTGACATGGTGCTCTCATGATGTGACGTGGTGCTCTCATGACATGATGCGACACACTCATGATGTGGTGTGGCATTCTCATGACGTAACGCGGTGCTCTAATGATGTGGCACGGTGCTCCATGAAGTGACACAGTGCTCTCATGATGTGACGTGGCGCTCTCATGACGTGACATGGTGCTCTCATGACGTGGTGTGGCACTCCATGAAGGGATGTGGCGCTCTCATGATGTCACGTGGCGCTCTCATGATGTGACGTGGCACTCTCATGATGTAACGTGGCGCTCTCATGATGTAACGTGGCGCTCTCATGACGTGGTGTGGCGCTCCATGAAGGGACGCAGTGCTCTCATGACATGGCGTGACGCTCTCATGACGTGGCGTGGTGCTCTCATGACTTGGCACGGTGCTCTTATGATGTGGCGTGGCACTCCATGATGTGACATGGCGCTCTCATGATGTGACATGGTGCTCTGGTTTGAATGCGCCCCCCACAAAGTCATGTGCTGGAAGCCTCATCACCAAGGCAATGGTGTTGGAAGGTGAGGGCCTCATAAGATGTGATTAGCTCACGAGGACACTGCGCTTATTAATGAATTAATGTCATTATCCAGGGAATGGGTTCATTATTACAAGAATAGTTCTGTTATAAAAGCAGTGGCTCATGCCTCTAATCCTACCACTTTGGGAGGCTGAGGCAGGAGGATCACTTGAGGCCAGGAGTTCGAGACCAGCCTGGTGCACACCTATCATCCCAGCTATGTGGGAGACCAAAGTGGGAGGATCACTTGAGCCTGGGAGTTCCAGGCTACAGTGATCTGTGATTGTGCCACGGCACTCCAGCCTGGATGATAGAGAGAGACCCTGTCTCTTAAAACAACAACAACCAAAACAAAAACAAGCAAGTTCAGCCTCTCTTGCTTTTACTCTTGCCCTCTCTGCCCCTTCTGCCTTCTGTCATGGGATGACACAGCATGAAGCCACTCACCAGATGCCGGCACTTTGCTCACTGTGCGCTCAGTCTCCCAGACCTCCCGAATGATGAGCCAAATACATTTCTGTTCATTATAAATAACCCTGGCTGTGCCATTCTGTGATAGCCACATAAAACAGATGAAGACACACAGCTAAGGAGAGTTAAGGCAGCAGATGGAATTAAGTTCGTTAATCAGCTGACCTGAAGGTAGGGAGAGTATCCCGGACCATCCAGGTGAGCCTAATCTATGGACCCGAATATAAGGGTCTTTACAAGGGAAAGAGGAAGGTAAAAGGAGGGTCAGAGGGATGTGACGTGTGAAGGACTCAGATGAAAAGGGCCACGAGCTAAGGAATAAGGGAAGCCTCTGGAAGCAGGAAACGCAGGGGAACAGAATCTCCCCTGAAACCCAGAGAGGAACGCAGCCCTGCCAGTGCCATGATTTTAGCCCAGTGAGGCCCATATTTTACTTCAGACCTGCAGAACTGTAAGATTATAACTTTTGTGGTTTTTCAGACAGTAAGTTTGTAGAAATTTCTTATGGCAGACATAGAAAACTAATACAATTGGGAAGAACTAGTTCTCTGTGAGATGAAAGAATTTACAGAATGTCTTGTCTATCACATGTAAGGGTCTGAAAAAGAAACATAAGGGTTGGACGACACAGGCAATCTGATGCAAAGGAGATGAAATGATGGAGCGACAAACTCAGATAAAAAGAAAGGGAGAGAGTCTCCAGAAATGAAGATCACAATAAAAGCAGCACAAAAGAAAAACAGACTCCACTCCGTCGTCATTCAGTGTGGTGGAGAACATGATTGAGAAACAGAGCAAAAGAGAGAGCAAAGGACAAAATGTTTAAGAGCATTTTAAAGCCAAATTAAAGATGTATAAGTCAAAGACAAGAATAGGCCAGGCGCGGTGGCTGATACCCGTAATCCTAGCACTTTAGGAGGCCAAGGCAGGCAGATCACTTCAGGCCAGGAGTGGCAACATGGCAAACATGGCCTGGCCAACATGGCAAAACCCCCGTCTCTACTGAAAATACAAAAGTTAGCCAGGCATGGTGGAATGTGCATGTGGTCCCAGCTACTCAGGAGGCTTGAGGCAGGAGAAGCACTTGAACACAGGAGGCAGAGCTTGCAGTGAGCTGAGATCGCACCATTGGACTCCAGCCTCAGTGACAGAGCGAGACTCAGTCTCAAAAAACAAACAAACAAAAAAGACAAGAATAAATGCAAGAGAATAAATGTCAAGAACTTGAAAAAAACTCTCCAGCCACACACAGTGGCTCACACCTGTAATCCCAACATTTCGAGAAGCCAAGGCAGACGGATCACTTGAGCCCAGGAGTTCAAGACTAGCCTGGGCAACATAGTGAGACCCCATCTCTACAAAAAATTACATTTAGCCAAGTGTGGTGGCACATGCCTATAGTCCCAGCTACTCGGGAGCTTGAGGCAGGAGGATCCTTTGAGTTCAGGAGGTCAAGGCTGCAGTGAGCAACCTCCACTGCACCCTGGGCAACAAGAGTGAGACCCTGTCTCAAAAAACAAGCAAACAAACAAAGCAGAAGACAAAAAACCTTCCTTAAATTAAGGTATGCTTCAGTCTACCAAATAAAATGGCACAATGTCATAAAAAAGAATGAAATCATGTCTTTTGCAGCAACATGGATGGAACTGATGGGCATTATCCTGACTGAAATAACTTAGAAACAGAAAGTCAAATACTGCGTGTTCCCACGTATAAGTGGAGGCTAAACCATGTGTACACAAGGACACGCAGAGTGGAGGAATAGATATTGAGACACAAAAAGTAGAAGGGTGGGGAGGTGGAGGTTGAAGAATTACCTGTTGGGTACGAGGTTCACTATTGGGTGACAGGTGCACTAAGAACCCCGACTTCCCCACTACACGACACATGCTTTTCAGAAACCTGCACTTGTACCCACTAAATAGATTTTTTTTAGTTTAAATAAAATTAAAAATAAATTAAAAGTCACAATGTGATTCAAGAACTGATTCAGGATGTGCCACATTTGGGAATATATTTCAAAGACTGAGAAATAATTCTGTGGGCAAAAATCGGCAAATCAAGGCATCTATAAATGAGAACAATCAAGCCACCCACAGATTTCTACTTAACGTCATTTGATAGAAATGTTTTTGTTTGTTTTTTGAGACAGAGTCTCACTCTGTTGCCCAGGCTGGAGTACAATGGCATGATCTCGGTTCACTGCAACCTCCACCTCCCTGGCTCAAGCAATTCTCCTGCCTCAGCCTCCCAAGTAGCTAAGACTACAGGTGTGCACAACCATGCCTGGCTATTTTCTGTATTTTTAGTAGAGACAGAGTTTCCCCATGGTGGCCAGGCTGGTTTTGAACTCCTGGGCTCAAGTGATCCACCTGCCTGGATCTCCCAAAGCACTGTTATTACAGGTGTGAGCCACTGCACCAGGCCTGCTTGAAATCTTAAAGCAAAGTTTGACTTAAACATGCAGTCAACATTCATTCAAGCCAAAGCTCATGATAAAGCTATTTTTAAAACAGATAAGAACTTTTAAAATACCATTCTCATGACTACTTTTTGGAAAAGAAAAATAAAAAAACAACCCCGTTAGAGTATAAGCTTAAGCCAATTATGTAATCAAAGGAGAAGATATTGAAAAATGATGTTGGTGGGCACTGATTTTTTTTTCACATTTTACAATTAACTTTTATCAAACTAATGGATGCACATGCTTTTTAAAAACCGCTAAGCACTCAGCCTTTCTGTGGGCAATATGCTAGTTAAACTCCATTTTCCACTATCCCTACTTGGGGTGCTTATGTGTCTAATTAAACTGCTCATATCCAAGCCTTCTTTGCAGACAGGAGTGGCCATCTGTCATAAAGCTGGCCAGAGAGATACTGGCAGAAGCCATTGAGTCACTTTTTTAAGGAACCTCTGACAGAGTTCCACTTCCAGAAAGGCAGTGTGAGGAGCTCAGTGTACCCATTCCAAGAAAAAAAAAATCCTAACTCATGATAATTGTAAAAATAACAACCATTTAATTTACCTGAAAATTGTCGAAACGGCAGGCAACAAATGAAGAAATCATTATTGCGTAAAATCTACGAAATTCCTCTGTAAGAACTGTGAGAGTCTTACCCTTGAACCTGACCCCGCCCACTCTTCTCAGCATGACGGAAGCTCCACTCTGGGTGAGTGTGGCCAAGAAGTTGGGGCCCCTCTACCTTCACCTCTCCATCTCATCAGAAGCTGCCAGTATTCCTCATCCCCTCCAACTCTGAGTTACAGAGGGTAAATTCCTGGCTTTGCCCTAAGCATGGCAAGCTGAGAACATTCAAACCCCAAGGGCCTTTTGCCCCAGCCCCTGGGTGGAGCTTCCATGCCAGGAACTTCCACACGGATGCTAACATCAGCATTATTCATAAAAGCAAAAAAGTGGAAACCATCCAAACATCCAAAGGGATACATAAAATGCGGCATATTCATTGTGTGGCATATCCATACAGTGGCATATTACTTGGCAATAAACAGTAAACAATTACTCATATATCCAATTACATGGATGAGCCTTAAACACATATGACATGAAAGAAGGTGCTTGCAAAAGACCACATACTGTAAGGTCCCATTTATATTAAATGTCCATGAAAGACAAATCTTACAGAGAAAAAGGATGTTAATGCTTGCCTAGGGCTGGGGATTTGGGAGGAAATGAAGAGTGACTCATATCAATAAAACTATTAGTTTTAAAGGTCCTATAAAAGAGGAAGACTTCCTTGGAATGTACCTTGTAGACTTTGTCCTTCCTCATCTACTGCAGAACCTGGGGGTACAAAAGGCATCGTGAACCTATGAGGACAAAAGCCACACACTATCAACGACTGCGCAAGAACAGCGAGAGTCTGGAACTGCGGTGACCTCATGAGCTGATGCCCTTTCTCTCGACAGCGAACAACAATAGCCTTGCATAAGTCACTGTACTGTGTGCTTTTTTGTCATATGCAGCCAACTGAAAATCCTAAACAAACACCTGCCCCCTCCACCCCATCCCACGCTCAGAAGCACCTGCTTTTAGCACATTCAGCAGCAGTGGGAGGGGTTGCTGCTTATCCCTTTACACTTAAATTGGCTTATACTGCTATTTCTTGATTTTTCCATTTTAGACATCATTTACTAACTGATAAGACCATTGCAGATGCAGTTATTTTACACCTACCCTTCAACTCCCTTCCACCCATTTCCCCAACATAATTACGATTTTACATTAAACCATTCAATGTTTACAAATTTATCACGTTAATGTTCCTCAGTGCAAAGCCAAGTATTGAACTAAGATTTTTTCTCCCACTGTCTTATTTTTTCATGAGTTAATAAATCCTTCTTTTTCATAATTGCCTGCATTTTCTTGTTATGTCTGGATACACCATGACACAGTCTATCAAGCCATCAATTCTATGAGGGTCTCCCTCCAGACCACCCTCGGGGCACTCAATCCCCCCACACATTCTGCACTGGTTCCTCTAGAGGTCACTCTTCTGAAGCTTCTCCTTGCCCCTCGCCTTAGTTGGAGCCAAGATTTCCTGGACTCTGTACCTTTGTCTTTCTTCATTTGCTCTCTTGTCTTGCTGAAGCACATCTCCCACGAGCTTCCTGAAAAAGGCATCATCAGGCAAATGTTCTGAGCCCTTCAGGCTGGCCAGTGTTGATGCTTTGTTCTCACACTTGATAATAGTTTATCTAGGTTGAAAAATTTAGGTTGACAATACTTTTTTCTTTTTTTTTTTTTTTTTTTTTTTTTGTAGAGATGAGGTCTCCCTATATTGCCCAGGCTGGTCTCAAATGCCTGGGCTCAAGAGATCCTCCTGCCTCGGCCTCCCAAAGTGCTGGGATTACAGGAGTGAGCCACCATGCCTGACAACAATACTTTTTTCTTAAAATTTTGAAAGCGTTGCTCCTTTTTCTTCTGGCACCTAATGTCGCTTTTGAGAAACACAATGCCATTCCTATTCTTGTTGTTTTTGGTGATGTTTTTTCTTTGTTAGTTTTCTTCTCTTCTCTGGATGCTTACACGGTCATTTCTTCCTTGGTTCTAGAATTTCAGAGCCACGTGTTTCTTTTATGTACTGACACTTAAGGAGGCATTTCAATCTGAGATCAGATATCACCAGTTCTAAGAAAGTCTTCCCCATGATTTCTTTGATAATTTCCTCTCCTCTGTTTTCTCCTCCCTCTCTTCCTTTAAATCCTAATAATTGACTTTTAAAAATCTCCCTGCCTTGGCCGGAGACACCTGTAATCCCAGCACTTTGGGAGGCCGAGGCGGGCGGATCACGAGGTCAGGAGATCGAGACCATCCTGGCCAACACGGTGAAACCCTGTCTCTACTAAAACTACAAAAAAATTAGCTGGGTGTGGTGGCGGGCGCCTGTAGTCCCAGCTACTCAGGAGGCTGAGGCAGGAGAATGGCATGAACCTGGGAGGTGGAGGTTGCAGTGAGCCGAGATCGCGCCACTGCACTCCAGCCTGGGCGACAGAGCAAGACTGCGTCTCAAAAAAATAATAATAAAATAAAATAAAAAATCTCCCTGCCTTGATCCACCCAGGCTCTTTTGTCTGTTCATCATTTGGATCTATCTTCTGACAGATTCTATTTACTTTAATTTCCAGCTCTACTATTTTCTTATTAATTTTGGTTCATAATTTCAACTTCCAAGAGTTCTAGTTTTCAGACTACTCTTACTTTATAGAATCCTGCTGTTGCTTATCTATCTCTTTAAGTATACTGTTAGCTTTTTTCTTTTGGTTTCATTTGTCCATTGCATTATGTTTTCTCACCTTTATTTTCTCGTCTCTTGCACATTTTCCTTAAATATCTCTAGATCCTTACCTGTTAATTTAACAGTGAGGCACTAAAATAACGGATTAAAGCTCTGAGAACATAGATGAAGCTTACAACCTGAAGTGGGGAGCTTCTCTTTCAGAGCTGGGCATGAAACTATCCATTTTATTGGGGATGCTCCAAATGTCAGGATAAGGAGGTATTTTCTCTGGATACACCCAGGTTCTCTGGAGAGGAAGCTATTAACCTTCTTTAGCAATTGGCCTCTGTCTGCTGATGTCCTATGGTCAGGCAGGTCGACTTTTATTTTTTTTTTTTTGAGTCTCGCTGTTACCCAGGTTGGAGTGCAGTGGTGCAATCACAGCTCACTGGAGCCTTGACCTCCCAGATTAGGTGATCTTCCCACCTCAGCCTCCAGAGTAGCTGGGACTACAAGCATGCGCCACCACACCCGGCTAAATTTTTGTGTGTTTTTTTTTGTTTGCTTGTTTGTTTCTTTGTTTGTTTTGTAGAGACGGTTTCGCCATGTTGCCCAATCTGGTCTTAAACTCCTCGAATCAAGAGATTCATCCATTTTGGCACCCCAAAGTGCTAGGCTTACAGGTGTGAGCCACCAGGCAAAGCCAGGCAGGTTGAATTTTAATCCCTTTTGTACCTACGCTGGCTTCTTAATTTCATCTCCCTCTGCACACACTACAGGTAGTATCTTAATCTCATCTCCCTCTGCACACTCTATAGGTAATATCTTAATCTCATCTCCCTCTGTTCATACTACAGGTAATATCTTAATCTCATCTCCCTCTGCTCACACTATAGGTAGTATCTTAATCTCATCTCCCTCTGCACATACTACAGGTAGTATCTTAATCTCATCTCCCTCTGCACATACTACAGGTAGTATCTTAATCTCATCTCCCTCTGCACACCCTACAGGTAGTATCTTAATCTCATCTCCCTCTGCTCATACTACAGGTAGTATCTTAATCTCATCTCCCTCTGCACACACTATAGGTAGTATCTTAATCTCATCTCCCTCTGCTCATACTACAGATAGTATCTTAATCTCATCTCCCTCTGCTCATACAACAGGTAGTATCTTAATCTCATCTCCCTCTGCACACACTATAGGTAGAGTAATTTCTTCCACTCCATAAAATTTGTTGTCATATAGAGTGAAAAATTTAGTACCTACGGTGGACCCTTGAACAACATGGATTTGAACTGTGCAGGTGCACTTATATGTGGATTTTCTTCTGCCTCTGCCATTCCTGAGATAGCAAGACCAACCTCTCCTCCTCTTGCTCAGCTTACTCAGTGTGAAGATGATGAGAATAAAGACCTTTATGATGATCAACCTACTTCCATTTAATGAATAATAAATGTATTTTATCTTCCTTATGATTTTCTTAATAACATTTTCTAGTCTCTAGCTTACTTTATTGTAAGAATATAGTATATAATATGTATGACATTGAAAATATGTGTTAATCAGCTGCTTGTGTTATTGGTAAGTCTTCCTGTCAACCATAAGGTATTAGTAAAGTTTTGGGGGAGTTGGAATTTACATGTAGCTTTTCCCCTCTGTGTGTGTGTTTGGGGCTGTCGATGCCCTTAACCTCTACACTGTTAAGAATAAACTGTGTACTGTTGGTGGGAGTAAGCAATGGAAGATTATATTCATAATATCGGATTGGTAAATGCCTGTTAAATTAAGATATGAAATGCAGAATCCATAAGATACTGGTACCTACGTAAAATTAGGCATTTTTCAAGGCAATAAAAAGTCCAATTGGAAGTATGTTATTAGCAGCAACAGGCCAGTATTATATATATCTAAAAGGTTTGTACAGATCAGTTCAATGGCCAGTTACATATGTCTAAAAGGATTTGTACAGGTCAACTCAATAAAGATTAATATTCTGTTAGAAAGCAAAATGGGCAAATGACTAAAACACGCAGTTCGCCGACTGTGGTGGCTTATGCCTGGAATTCCAGCTCTTAGGGAGGTAGAGGCAGACAAATAGCTTAAGCCCAGGAATTCGAGACCTACCTGGGCAATATAGTGAGACCCCTTTCTCCACAAAAAAGAAAAAAAAAGTGTAAACCTGCAGTTCACAGAAAAGAAAAATACACAAAGGACTTATAAAATGTCTTTAAAATATGCTTGATATACTGATAATTAAATACATAGAAATTAAAACAAGAAATCAGCCAGGCATGGTGGGGACTGCCTGTCATCTCAGCTACTCAGGAGGTTAAAGCAGGAGGATCACTTGAACCCAGCAGTTCAAGGCCAGCCCAGGCAACACAGCGAGGCCCCATCTCCAAAAAATAATAATCATCTATTAGCATTTCAAAAAATAAAGATTAAGAGATTTGGGGCCAGACGCAGTGGTTCACGCCTGCAATCCCAGCACTTTGGGAGGCCGAGGCGGGCGGATCACGAGGTCAGGAGATCAAGACCATCCTGGCTAACACGGTGAAACCCCGTCTCTACTAAAAATACAGAAAAAAATTACCTGGGCATGGTGGCGGGCACCTGTAATCCCAGCTACTCGGGAGACTGAGGCAGGAGAATGGCATGAACCCAGGAGAAAGAGCTTGCAGGGAGCCGAGATCACGCCACTGCACTCCAGCCTGGGCGACAGAGCGAGACTCCGTCTCTAAATAAATTAATTAATTAATTAAAAAGAGATTTGGTAAAACACAATGTTGGCAAGATGAGGAAATTTTGCAGCATTGTACATTCAGAATGTAATGTATGCTGCCATGACTATTTTCTCCATTTGACCAAGAGCCATCAGTATTGTTAATAAATGTATCCACTGAACTAGTGTTTCTATGTCTAAGAATTTATCCTACAGATATATTTGTAATTAATACAGAAAATATGTATGTATACAAAGATGTTCATTGAAATACTGTATGTGATATCTCAAAACTGGGACAATCTGCTATCTGGTGTGGTTCCCAGGCAAGGGCCAGCCTGGGAACTGCTTTTTAACCTGTTCGTGACAAGATGAGAACTCGTGCCAGCATCTCTAACAACTACATTACTAAGCACATTACAAGACTCTTTCTTTCTTTCTTTCTTTCTTTCTTTCTTTCTTTCTTTCTTTCTTTCTTTCTTTCTTTCTCCTTCCTTCCTTCCTTTCTATTTTTTTTTTTTTTGAGACAGGGTCTCACTCTGTCGCCCAGGCTGGAGTGTAGCGGCACGATCACAGCTCGCTGCAACATCACAGCTCGCTGCAACCTCGACCTCCGAGGCTCAAGCAATTCTCCCACCTCAGCCCCCTGAGTAGCTGGGACTACAGGCACATGCCACCACACCCAGCTAATTTTTTTGTAGAGATGGGGTTTCACTATGTTGCCCTGGTCTCAAACTCCTGGGATCTAGTGATCCTCTCACCTGGGCCCCCCAAAGTGCTGGCATTATAGGCGTGAGCCACTGCGCCAGGCTCTAGACTGTCTCAAAGTACAGAGCAATATGTTCATTTATATCTTGATTAGCCTCCTTGTCTCATGCGCTGGTACTTTCAGTCACATGGGTTTTTAGGAGAGTGTATAAATCAATTTTGACAGAACCAAAAAATACTTGGTTTTGAAAAAGCATGAGAAAAAGTTATTTCGTTCTACATACAAAAAAAAATCGAGCATATGTCTGTGTGTCCAAAATTCAGTTTTTAGGTGCTTTTATTTGTGCAAATACAAGGAAAGGGGTATTTAGTAACATAGCCATCTTTCTGGAAGGATTTATAAGAATTTGGGTAACAGTGTTTGCCTCTGGAGAGAGGAACTGAGAAATTGGGAAACTAGAGATCTGAATTTTTTTAAAAAAATTGTTTTTCATTGTGTTCCATTTATAGCATTTTAATTTTTAGGCCCTGTGCATGTACAAATAAAAATAAGATTTTGAATAATTAAAAACAATAAATAGTAGGAACACTTAAAAGAAAGAATTATTGGCTGGGCGTGGTGGCTCACGCCTGTGATCCCAGCACTGTAGGAAGCCGAGGCGGGTGGATCACAAGTCAGGAGTTTGAGACCAGCCTGGCCAACATGGTGAAACCCCGCCTCTACTGAAAAATACAAAAATTAGCTGGGCGTGGTAGCACACGCCCGTAGTCCCAGCTACTCAGGAGGCCGAGGCAGGAGAATGGCTTGAACCCAGGAGGCAGAGGTTGCAGTGAGCTGAGATCACGCCACTGCACTCCAGCCTGGCGACAGAGCAAGTTTCCATCTCAAAAAAATAAATAAATAAATAAAATGAAATAAAATGAAATAAAATAAAATAAAATAAAATAAAATAAAATAAAATAAAATAAAATAAAATAAAATGGAGATGAGGTCTCCACACGTTGCCCAGGCTGGTCTTGAACTCCTGGGCTCAACAACCTTCAGGCCTCGGCCTGCCAAAGTGCTGGAATTACAGGCATGAGCCACAGCACCTGGCTGACATATAAGCTTTTGAAAAGCTAGAAGCAAATTCCCCGAAGTGGGGACAATTCTAGTTGTGTAGTAAAACAATAGATTAGACTTTTCTTTTTTCTAAATTTCTGTATTTTCGCATTTAAGTTATTGTGTCTTCTTTTTGCTTCATTATTTCAAATAACACATCATACAATATTACATATGATAGTGATTTAAGATTAGGGAATTTATTTATGTGGTGATACATATTTTATGACCCCATAATATGTGTGAATTGAAAGCCAGAACCATGACTATTGTGAAGCTAACAGACCTGCTGTGGTCTAAATATTTGTGTCCCCTCTAAATTCATGTTAAAATCTAGTCACCAAGGTGATGATATTTGGAGGTGGGAACTTTGGAAGGTGATTGGGTCATAAGTGTGCAGCCTTCATAAATGGCGTTAGTGCCTATAAAAGAGACCTCCAAGAGCTGCCTTGCCCCTTCCATTAGGGTATAGAAACACAGCAAGAAAACACCATCTGTGAATTAAGAAATGGGTTCCCACCAGGCACTGAGTCTATTTGTGCCTTGATCTTGAACTTCCAGCCTCCACAACTGTGGGAAATCCATTTCTATTGTTTATCAGCACCCCCAGTTCATGGTATTTTATTAGAGTAGCCTGAATGGACGAGATGGCCTTCATCGGGTCTTTTCACCATTATGGGCCCAACCGCAGCTCAATATCATTAGAGGAGAAAAAACACTGACCTCCTGCAGGCCATGCAAGAAGGCAAATGGAAATATTGGTAATATTCATTTATAGTGGACTGACTGTGCCCCACTAAAATTCATGTGTTGAAATCCCCAGTGTGATGGTATTAGGAGGTGAGAACTTTGGGAAGTAATTAGCTCACAAGAATGGAGCCCTCTTGAATGGTATTAGTGTCCTTATAGGAAGAGGCCAGAGAGCTCTCTTGCCTCTTTCTGCCATGTGAGGATACAACAAAAAGTTGGCAGTCTGCAACTTGGAAGACAGCCCTCACCAGAGCCTGACCATGCTGGAGCTCTGATCTTGGTTTTCCAGCCTCCAGAACTGTGACAAATAAATTTCTGTTGTTGATAAGCTACCCAGTCTGTGGACCTTGTTATAGCAGCCCAAATGGACTGAGACACCATTTAAAGAACAAAAGAGCAAAACTCCCAAATGGAAAGCTTAATATGTGATTAAGCATTAAAAAATGCAATTCTTATTAGTAACCTGAGAGGAAAGCAAGCTAGATATTCAATATGCTTTAAGTTAGATATTCAATATGCTTTAATTTTTTTGAAATGGTAAATGACAAACAAAAAGTATCATCTACATATTGCAAAAGGGGCTGACACTATCTTAAAATATGTGAAAGTTAAGCTTGAGTTGTACAATTTGGGGGCAAATGTGACTGGGCACTGGGTGTTAGGTGAAGTGATCTATGGCCAACCAGCTGGCTTCTGACAGCAGGGGTGTTAGGGAGGAACCCCTGCCTTAGATTGCCCCAGGTTCTCAGCTCTTGTTCAGCATTTTCTTTCCAGAAAATAGGTCCTTTTATTCCATGTAAAAATTGCAAAGGTTTAAATTCACATAAATTATAAATGGATCCATCAGCACCATCTCTGAGGACAGATGTAGTCAAAAAGAAAGACGGTGTTTTCTGTTTGGAAGAAGAATCACGGCAGATGCAGAGCAGAGCTTAGACAGTGGAGCATGCAGAGGAGCTCTCTTGGCTTCCATCATCTTGCTTCTGGTCAGCCTTGATGAGAGGTAGAGTCCTGGAGCTGGAGGTGGATGTACAGGGAACAATCATAAAAGAGGAGGGAAGGGAGGATGCTTGCCTATTCCCAGGATCAAAAGTAGACATGTAGGCCAGGCATGGTGGCTCATACCTGTAATCCCAACACCCCGAGAGGCTGAGGCAGGAAGATCACTTGAGGCCAGGAGTTTGAGACCAGTCTGGGCAACATAACAACAGTCTGTCTCTACAAAAAATATATATATATTTAAAAAACAAATTAGCTGGGCATGGTGGCATGGACTTGTAGTCCCAAGCTACACAGGAGGCTGAGGCAGAAGGATCTCTTGAGCCCAGGAGTTCAAGGTTACAGTGAGCCATGATTGTGCCACTGCACTCCAGCCTGGGTAACAGTGTGAGACCCTGTCTCAAAAAAAAAAAGCAAGCATCTGCTCCTTTAAGATGCAGTAGACAGACCAGGCCGTGGTGACTCATGACTGTAATCCCAGCACTTTGAGAGGCTGAGGCAGGAGGATAACTTGAAGCCAAGAGTTCAAGACCAGCCTGGGCAATATAGTGGGACCTCTGTTTCTCCAAAAAAAAAAAAAAAATGCAGTAGATAAGAAGTCTCAGACTAGATGAATGCTCACTCAGTCTAAAGGCATTCACCAAGACACCATTGTGGGTGAGGCACAGAGAAGCTTTGTGTCCTCAGAAGGCCTCTCACACTCCGATACTTAAACTCACCTTCACACAGGTTCTTTCTACCATACAGCTGTAAGCACAGGTCCATGTCCAGGCCATGCTGCCTACAGTGTAGCATGTCTAAGATTCTTTTTCATAGTCCTGTAACTATTTTGTTCAAAGTACA
Source organism: Homo sapiens (assembly GCF_000001405.40). Classification (NCBI taxonomy): domain Eukaryota; kingdom Metazoa; phylum Chordata; class Mammalia; order Primates; family Hominidae; genus Homo; species Homo sapiens. Next base: position 158,959 of record NW_025791757.1, on the reverse strand, counting down.
ATATTGTTGCAAGACATTTCCAAGTGTGATAGAATGTTAAAAAGGAAAAAAAAGTCCAGACTTTAATGTTACAGTGAACTGTGACAAAGATTCCCTCCTCTACCAAACTTCAGTCAGACTCCTCGGAATCTTCTCCTCAACCAGGCCTTGTCCTTGGCCCCCATCCTCTCATCAACCTGCCTAGCCCAGTTTTAGCAAGAATCCTGCTAAGTCATTCCCCACATTGATATCTGACTATTCTCATATCTGATTGGGTTGCTCATCCCTCACAATCCCCCAGGTGATATCTGATCACCCTGGCCTGTCTTCAGCAAGAATCCTGTTAGATCACTTTAGCAAGAATATCCCTACCCTTGTTAAGGAAAAATTATTCAATGGTACTTATTAAAGGATGGGAGGGCTGACTTTGTTCTGGACCCTTGTGATAAGTGTAGGTAACATGGCAGTGGGATCTAGCGGTGGGAGAGAGGTTGGGTCGGACTCCAAATACAACAAGGAAGAGGGGGTATTTATAACCAAAGAGAAGGGTGGGGGTCAGTAGATAAAAAATTACGAAGAGGAAATATCAGGGGTAAGGGGGTTCTGGTTGAACTGGCCTAACATACTCTTGCTGAAGGCAGGCCGGGGTAATTGAACATTGCCTGGGGGATAATGAAAAATAAGGAACCCAATCTGCCATTGAGGAGTCAGATACCAAGGATGAGGATATTCTTGTTAAACTGACTTAGCAGGATTCTTGTTAAAGCTGGATTTTATAAGGAAATGCACAGATGGGTCTAGGAGAAGGTTCAGGAGCCTGACTAAAGTTCTGTTAGGCCAGGTTCAGGAGTCTGATTAAAGTCTAACAGAATCTTTTTCACCTTTACTATATCCTCTTAGTAATCTCTGTCCACTGACTCCCAACCTGTTCCCTAGCCATAAATCCCAACGTTCCCTTGTTGCATTCAGGGTTGAGTCCATTCTCTCTGCTCTATTACAATACCCCTGCTGGAATCGTGCTAAATAAAGTCTCTGTTACCATTTCAAAAAGCATCGGAATATTTTTTTGAGAAGGGTCTCACTCTGCCACCCAGGCTGGAATGCAGTCGTGATTGATTATGGTTCACAGCCTCGACCTCCCCAGGTTCAAGCGATCTTCCAACCTCAACCTCCCAGGCTGCTGGGACTACAAGTGCACATCACAACCCACCTGGCTAATATTTGTACTTTTTGTAGAGACAGGGTTTTGCCATATTGCCCCAGGCTGGTCTTGAACTCCTTGGCTCAAGTGACATACCCGCCTTGGCCTCCCAAAGTGCTAGGATTACAGGTGTGAACCACTGCACCTGGACAGAGTATTTTTTCCTTTAATGATGACTGTGGCTGGGTGTGGTGGCTAATGCTTGTAATTCTAGTGCTTGTGGGAGGCTGAGAAGGGAGGATTGTTTGAGGCCAGGAGTTTGCGATTAGGCTGGCCACACCACACATAGCAAGACCGTATCTCTACAAAAACATGTTTAAAAAATTAGCCAAGCATGGTAGTGTGCACCTGTAGTCCCAGCTACTCAGGAGGCTGAGACAGAAGGATCTCTTGAGCCCAGGAGTTCGAGGCTGCAGTAAGCTATAATTGTGCCACTGCCCTCCAGGCTGGGTAACAGAACGAGACCCCCAATTCAAATAATAATAATAAAACAATGGCTGTCACTCAAGCTCCTGATGGTATAACATCAAAAGTCCCAGAGTGAAATCATTTTGCAAAAAAAAAAAAAACCCCAAACTTCCAAATTTTTCATTAGTCAAGTATTTTCATCACTGTCTTTTTTGTGCTCACAGAAATAAGCATATCATTGCTCAGTGTACTGGAATCTTGAGTTTTCTGTAAAAGGAAGTGTATTCGATGTAAACATTTAAAACACACCAGAGTTTCGTAACTCTGCTTTGTCATTTCTTTTTTTTTTTTTTTAATATACTGAGCTTCTAAAGATAAAAATAAGAAAGAAAACGGAAGTAGCCTGAAACTGCTGTTGCAATGTTTTTCCTAACCACACTGAGCTCGACTCTTTTCAGGAGCCCGACTCCAGCTGCTGCTGCAGCACATCTTGAGCTGGGGCATCCCCGCGTCTTAGACCTGACCTCGCTCTCTCCCCCTGGGACTGTATATGTAGCCCAGAGGCCTGGCCTTGGCTCACCTGCTTAACTGAGAGGAGAGTCCCTCATTTTGCTCCACTGGAGGTTCCTGCTACTCTCTTCTGCCCTCTGCTGGTCCTGGGTGTTAGTGACAATCATCCCTCTGCCCTCCCCAGGTTAAGAAGAGGAAGGAGGGAGAGCGGAGGACTGCGGAGCAGCACCAGCGGATGGAGAAAGCTAATTGCTGTAAAAAAGAGTACATGATTGGCGTCCCCGAAGTTTCCAGGACAGAAGTGAAGGGTGGGATATTGGGGAAAGACGGGGCTTGCTTGCATGAAACCTAATATAAAGAGGTGCTGGTATAAATGGAATGTCCGTGTCTCTGCCAAATTCATATGTTGAAATCTTAACCCCCCAGATGAGGGTATTAAGAGATGAGGCTTTGGAGAGGTGATTAGGTCATGTGAGTGGAGCCCCCTGAAGGGAGAATTAGTGCCCTTATAAAAGGGGCCACAGAGCAATCCCTTGTCCATTCCACCATGTGAGATTATAGCTAAGGAACATATATGGCCATCAGTAGCACAGAAAACGGGTCCTCACCAGACACCAGACCAGCCCAGACACCAGACCTGCTGGTGTCTTGATCTTGGAGTTCCCAGCCTTTAGAGCTGTGAGAAATAGATTTCTGTTGGGCCAGGTGTAGTACCTCACTCCTGTAATCCCAAATCTTTGGGAGGGCAAGGCAGGAGAATCACTTGAGGCCAGAAGTTTGAGACCAGTCTGGCAAAATAGAGAGACCTCATCTCTACAAAAAATTAAAAGTTAGCTGGGTATGGTGGCTTGTGCTTGGAGTCCCAGCTCCTTGGGAGGCTGAGGCAGGAGGACTACTTCAGCCCAGGAGTTTGAGGTTGTGGTGAGCTATGATCAATCATATTACAGTCCAACCTGGGTGTCAGAATGAGACCCTGTCTCAAAAAACAAACAAAAAAAAATCCTGTTGTTTATAAGCCACCCAGTCCATGGCAGTTTGTTACGCACTGAAACACAGGAGGTGGGGAAGAATGAGTCGAGGAGGACACAGGTGGGAGTGAGTCTTGCATACAGTTGTTACTCTGAACTTACGTAAGAATTCTCGTTTTCTCGTTTGGTTGTAGAATCAGTCAGTCTTGAAATCGAGATTCTATAGGTCAGCAGGAGCAACTCCCTTTCCTGATTGTGACCAGGAAGGGAAGAAGGGAAGGCTTCGCTCCCACACTCCTGCTCATCAGCTTCCCTGGACATTAAGGCCCAGCAATCCTGCCTGGGAGGCTGCGAGAACGAGACTGTTTTGTTGGGAAGTTGGACCAAAGACTCCTCATGGGCCCATCCAGCTCTGAACATCTAGAAATCCAGGGACATGGACAGAGAGTTCTTCCCCACCCTTTCACAGGGTTGTGACATGGCCTCCCAGTGTGCTCTCAGGTTCTTCTGTCTCTTGAGGTCAAGGGCCCTGGCAAAACCCTTTACTTGGACAGAGCAACTGTGGAAGTTAATCTTATGTGTCAACTTGACTGGGAAGAGATGTCAAGAGAAGTGGTAAAACATTATTATTAGGTGTGTCTGTAAGGGTGAGTCTGGAAGAGGTTAGCGTTTCTATCAGACTAGGTAAGGAAGATCCGCCCTCACCCACGCGGGCAGGCATCGTTCCATCCGTTGAGGAGCCGAACAGAAGAGTGGAGGAAAGGCACATTCTCTCGGAGCTGGGACATTCACCTTCTCCTGTCCTCGGACATCAGTGCTCCTGCTTCTGAAACCACCTTTGCAAAATTAATGACTGAAACAGCAAAAGAGATCTAACTTCACTGACTCCTTCTTGCTTCTAACCTCCAAGCTGCCCTTGTTCATTCCTGGGCATAAGCTGAACTAACTTTGGGAGAAACTTAGTTTATAGTTTACCTTTTTTTTTTTTTTTTTTGAGGCAGAGTCTCACTCTGTCGCCCAGGCTGGAGTGCAGTGGCGTGATCTCGGCTCACTGCAACCTCCACCTCCTGGGTTCCCACCATTCTCCTGCCTCAGCCTCCCGAGTAGCTGGGACTACAGGTGCCCAACAGCACACCCAGCTAATTTTTTGTATTTTTAGTAGAGACAGGGTTTCACCGTGTTAGCCAGGATGTTCTCGATCTCCTGACGTCGTGATCCACCCACCTCGGCCTCCCAAAGTGCTGGGATTACAGGCGTGAGCCACTGTGCCCGGCCTATAGTTTAAAACAAAGACCATAGTTTAAAACAAAGCCCTTTCCCAAAGCAGACCTCCTTCTTGCCTGGGGACTAGGTTGTCTTTGTAGGATTAACATTAGCCACAAGATTAGAAATCATAGTTTAAGAGACATGCAGCTGGAGGCTACAAGATTCTGACCCTCCCTAAACTGCTCCTAAGATCAGTGGCTTGAGATGTTTTGCAGACCTTGCACTTAATGGATCAGCTGGCATCATGCAGATTAATTAAGTGGCTCACCTGATCTTGTGGCCCCCACCCAGGAACTGACTCAGTGCAAGAGGACAGCTTCAATTCCCTATGATTTAATCTCTGACCAATCAGCACTCCTGGCTCACTGGCTTCCTCACACCCACCAAGCTGTCCTTAAAAACTCTGCTGCCCAAATGTTTGGGGAGACTGATTTGAGTAACAACGAAACTCCGTTCCCCTGCACAGCTGGCTCTGCGTGAATTACACTTTCTCCACTGCAATTCCTCTATCTTGCTAAATCGGCTCTATCCAGGCACTGGGCAAGGTGAGCCCATTGGGCAGTTACACTTCTCCAGCCTTCAAGCTCAGACTCAATTCCCCGACTGGCTTTCCTGGCTCTCTAGCCTGCGGAGAGCAGGTGGTGGAGTTTCTCAGTTTCCAGAATCGTGTGAGCTGATTCCCATAATCAATCTCATATACTATGTGTATCCTATGGATTCTGTTTCTCTGAAGAACCCCCCAAAATATAGCACACAATCCTAATTTTTCCTACCACTCACTCCCCAGCAACATTTTAATTTGGCCAAGTTCTCTGTTGCTTATAGCAGAACACAAAAGCACCAAACAGCAAAACAGGGAAGCAGGAATCTCTCTCCTTTGAGACCCAGAGCGCCACGCTGTGGAACAATTAGCTGTGTGGGGGCCCTCCCCTCCCTTCACCCTCACAAGTCAGACTCGCTTATAAACCCACCAGCCAAGTTAGGCCATCTTCACCTGTCCAGATCTGGAGATACTAGAAATCATCTTATCTCATATCCTTCCTTTAGGTAAAGGATACACTGAGACCCAGAGAGGCCGGCTTGCTGTGGGTTTAAAACACTCTTACTTCTAGGGCAGGGGTTCTCAAATGATTTGGTTCAAGGCCCCATTACACTCTTGAAAATGAGGACTCCAGGGGGCTTTCATGTGGGGATTATATCTGTTGATATTTACTGTATCAGAAGCCAAAACAGAAAAATTGTTAAAAAGTCTGAGAAGAGTAGCACTGACTTACAGTTTGCACATCTTACTCATGTCTGACTCAGCAGAAAGCAGCTGGAGTCTCTAATACTTCTGCATCTTTAGTCTACTGCAATATCACAGAGCATTAGCCTGTTGAAAATTCCAGTCTAAGCCGGGCACAGTGGCTCATGCCTGTAGTCCCAGCACTTTGGAGGGCTGCGGTGGGAAGATCGCTTGAGCTCAGGAGTTTGAACCAGCCTCAGCAACATAAAGAGACCCTGTTTCTACAAAAACTTAAAAATTAGTTGGGCGTGGTGATGCACACCTGTGGTTCCAGCAACTCAGGAGGCTGAGATGGGAGGGTTGCTTGAGGCTGGGAAGTTGAGGCTGCAGAGAGCCATGATCATGCCATGGAACTTCAGTCTGGGGAGTGAAGTGAGACCCTGTCAAAAAAAAGAAAGAGAAGAAGGGAAGAAGGGGAAAAGTAAATTCTAGTCTACACTTGTGAGAGTGAAAACAGTGTCATAGTATGATTATGAAAATAGTTTTGACCTTGCAGATCCCCTGAAAGATCTCAGGAGTTCCATGGGGATCCCCCGACCACACAGTGAGAACTATAGGTATAGAATAAGCAAGAGCATGTCTGGAGTCCTTGTCTCCTAAATCTCCATCTGCTACCTTTATTTCTTATTTTATTTCTTGCTTATTTTTATTTACTTGTTTATTTGTCTTGAGATGGAGTCTTGCTCTGTCACCAGGCTGGAGTGCAGTGGTGCCATCTCGGCTCACTGCAACCTCCACCTCCCGGGTTCAAGCAATTCTTGTGCCTCAGCCTCCAGAGTAGCTGGGATTACAGGTGTGCGCCACCACACCTGGCTAATTTTTGTATTTTTAGTAGAGACAGGGTTTCACCATGTTAGCTAGGCTGGTCTTAAACTCCTGACCTCAAATGATCCACCCACGTCAGCCTCCCAAAGTGCTGGGATTACAGGTGTGGGCCATCACGCCTGGCCTATTTTTTATTTTTATATACTAATTGTGGAGAATCCCTGGGTTTGTTTTTTTCCATCTTTCTTTTTTAATTTTTTTTGAGATGGGTCTTGCTACATTGCCCAGGCTAGACTCAAATGCCTGGGCTCAAGCAATCCTGCTGCCTCAGCCTCCTGAGTAGCTTCAATTACAGGTACATGCCAACACACTTGGCTCCATCTGCTGCCTTCCTATCTTACGGCAGTATTCTACATTACGCTGTCTCTTACCTGTATTGAAATCATGTATCCCATACACGTATACAATTACAATTTGTCAATTAAAAATTATATTAATTTTGAAAAACAATATGTAAAAGTTAACCCCGCAAAAATCAAATTTTTTTAGGACTTTAAAATAAAATCTGGAGAATAGCTAACATATTCTGTCAGGGCTGTCAGACTAAAAAGAGAAGTGCATGAGTCACTTCAAAACAATGGTTACTTTTCTCTTCAGAGAAATTGAACTAGAATTATAAAAGACTCATTCAAATGTTGTCATGGGCAGCAAAAAAAAAATAACAACAGTGATTTCCAGTCAAAGCCCCACGTGGACACATGAAATCACATTTGCAAAATTATGACTGAGACAGTGAACGAGATTTAACTTAACTGACTTTATCTTGCTTCTAATCTCCAAGGGGTCCTTGTTCATTCCTGGAGGTAGGCTGAACTAACTTTGGGGAAAACTTAGTGTATAGTTTATAGTTTAAACAAAGATGGTAACAGCCCTTTTCCAAACAGCCCTTTTCCTTCTTGCCTGGGGAATAGATTGACATTGTAGGACTAACATTAGCCAGAATATCAGAAATTATGGTTTAGGAGTCATGCAGCTGGAGGCTACAGAATCTTGACACTCCCTAAACTGCTTCTAAAATCAATGCTTGAGATATTTTGTAGACCCTGCACTTGATGGCAACACCCAGATAAAAAACCTGGCTCATCTGATCTTGTGGCCCCCACTCAGGAACTGACTGAATTCAAGAAAACAACTCTGACTCCCTAAGATTTTATCTCTGACCAATCAGCACTCCTGGCTCACTGGCTTCCCCCCACCGACCAAGTTATCCTTAAAAACTCTGCTCCCTGAATGCTCAGGGAGACTCATCTGAGTAATAATAAAACTCTGGTCTCCCACACAGCTGGCTCTGCGTGAATTACTCTTTCTCTACTGCAATTCCCCTGTTTTAATAAATCTGCTCTATCTAAGTGGTGGGCAAGGTGAACCCCCTGGACAGTTACAAATTTGGTAGCTCGTCCGGGATTGCCCTTGTGACTACCTGCCCATGGTTCAGTGGCAGCCCTCTAGCAATGGATCCAGAAGCCTGCCCAAGCAGCTGCCTAGTTCTCTTGGACTGGAGGCTGACCCTGATACTCTCACTACTGGTGGGGCACTGCTGACCCAATGTGCATGGATTTAATTGCAGTGGAGAAATAGTCACGGGGAGACATCCCTTAACTGTAGCCCTATCATGGGGTGTCTGTCTGTAGCCCCATGGTGGGGTGTCTGTCTGTAACCCCATTGCAGGTTGTCTAATCCAGATTGGTTAGTATCCTATGCACTGCCAATGCCTCCTTCCTTCTCCTGACTGGTTCTGTAGCCCTGTGGTGGGATGTCTATTTGTAGCTCCATCATGGGATGTCTGTGTCTGTAGCCCCATTGGAGGGTGTCTGTTCAGCTCCTGGGGAGTCTTGGTTGGCTCCTTCTAACTAGTAGGAAGACTTCTGGTTTGGGAGACTTCTTCTCAATTAGGAAGATTTTGAGGAGGTTTCTCAGAAGGAGAATAGAAAGATAGTTTGGAAGGGATACTCCTGGAGGTCTTGGTTAGGGATCTAATTGGGAAGGCCTGTGTCCTCTCATCTTTGTGTGTGTTTGTATATGTGGAAGGGATCTCAGAAGAGGTTACTGATGGAAGTCCAGCAGACCTAACTCAAAACCCTCCTTATTTGTCTGGTCACATTTGATGAGCCCTAGAGAAGGCTCAACAGGCCTGTCTCGGGGTGACTATCTGCTCTTCGTCTTGCCGAGAGACCCCATTGTGAATTACTATTCTAAGGTCATCCCTCCCCACCTGGAGTGGATCAAAGACAACAGGGACCAACGGGAAAAAGTTTTTGAGCTTTGCCAGGCTGATATTGGGTGCTGAACGAGGTGGCTAATGTGTGTTTTGTTATGTGTGTTTTGCTGGGATGGAAAATGTTAATTTGGTTCCCCATGCAGCCTGTTGGGCAGCATCTTGCCAATTAAGAATCTTGTCTGTGGTTCCGTAAAGCTCAGGAAAGGGTGATTTTCTCTTGTAAAGTGGCTTGATTCCCACAGCCATGGTGCAGTGAGCAGGGTCATTAGAAACCACTCTGTTCTGGAAGCTGCAGAGAAGGGGAGCCAGGAAGCCTAGTATGCTGGCAAAAAGGGTAAGAAATTCTTACCAGCCAAGTTTCTGGTCTCTCTCTCTCTCTTTCGCTGTCTGGGTAAACAGTAAACGTCACTATTTGTCTCTCTGCAAGCGTTTGATTAATAGAAAAAGGATTTGTGAAACTAGTTTTAGGTGGTAGCAAATCTGGTGTACTTTGTGCTAAGAATTTGTCTTTCTGTGTTCTGTAATGGAGAAAGGAGTATCACAGGATAGAACGTGGGTTCAGGACCCACTTTCAAGCCCACTTTTCAAGCCAGCCTGGCAGGCTGTTCAGCTGCAAACTGCTATGGGTCCCTGAAACCAATAGCAGATGAAATTTCTCTGTCTTGTTTTGTGTCCTTAAGAGCTTAACCTTGTGACCATGTGGGGATACTTTCTCCTGGTTTCTGCCATCTAGAAGACAGGAACTTGGGGATTCATGTCATAGTCAGCCCTAAACATTTTCTTGAGCAGCTAAAAACCTTTGCAACTTTTAAACTGGCTTCTCTAGGCTCCTTCTGGGAAGAGCAATAGAAACTGCTCAATGCTGTAACTCAGTGGCCAGGGCTTTGTCTTTTGACAATGGCAGCCTGGGTTCTAATTTTTTTTTTCTTTTTTTTTTTTTGAGACGGAGTTTCACTCTTGTTGCCCAGGCTGGATTGCAATGGCACCATGTCATCTCACCTCAACCTCCGCCTCCTGGGTTCAAGCAATTCTCCTGCCTCAGCCTCCTGAGTAGCTGAGATTACAGGCATGCGCCACCACGCCTGGCTAATTTTTTTATATTTTTAGTAGAGACGGGGTTTCTCCATGTTGGTCAGGCTGGTGTTGAACTCCCAACCTCAGGTGATTCACCCACCTCGGCCTCCCAAAGTGCTGGGATTACAGGCGTGAGCCACCGTGCCGGCCTGAGCCTGGGTTCTATTCTTGGCTTCTGGAATGATTCCCTTCTGGTTTTTTTACTTATGTAACTTTGCCATTTGTTGAGGTTTCCCCCCACCATGGATAGCTTCTGATTTCCTGTCTTGAAGTTTTATTTCTCTAAAATACCCTAGGGGAAATTCTAAATCTTGTAAAAAAAAAAAAAAAAAAAAAAAGAAACTGCTTACCATCTCTTTGAGACACTCACGTTTCCATGGTTAAGTTATATCCTTAATTAAAACTTATTAATTTCATGTGGAAAGTTACCTATGGAATTCAAAAGCCAAAAATATTGGCCACTTGGCATGGCTAAAGTTGGGTAATAAAAAATTTAAAAGAATTTTTTTTAAAAAAGCACCATAGTTAAAAGTCAGCTTAATTAAAAGTGGATAAACAAGCTAGAAGTTTATTTATTTATTTATTTTATTGTTGAGATGGAGTCTCACTCTGTCACCCAGGCTGGAGTGCAATGGCAAGATTTAAGCTTACTGCAACCTCCGCCTCCCAGGCTCAAGCAGATTCTCCTGCCTCAGCCTCCTGAGTAGCTGGGATTACAGGCGTGCGCCACCACTCCTGGCTAATTTTTGTATTTTTAGTAGAGACAGGATTTCAACATGTTGACGAGGCTGGTCTTGAACTCCTGGCCTCCTGATTTGCCCACCTCGGCCTCCCAAAGTGCTGGGATTACAGGTGTGAGCCCCATGCCCGGTGCTATAAATATATTTAAAAGCCCTTTATGTTTTTCTCTCCTTGGATCTTGTTTTTCCTGGAAAAAGTTTTTTTTTCTTCTCAGCTGACTGAATTATTTTCCTCCATTTTTTTTGTCTTGCCAATCTTAATGCACACATGAGAGGCCCTGAGATGACTTCTGGTAGCCTGGGACTTCTTGGGAAAAACAGGAAGCACCACCAACCCCATTTTGGAAGAAAAAAAAAAAAGCTCTGTTTTCCACATAGAACCCTAGCAATTAAAAGCAGATAAATCCCTCTCAAAATCAAAGGCTCTGTTCTGTTTTGCATTGCGTTATCTAATGGTTTTGAGTTTCAGGCGTATCAGAAATTACTTCCCTTTATTTGAAAACACTTGGTGTCTAATAACTAGGTAGGAGATATACTTTAGTGCATGGCTAATAGCAGTTATGGAAGAATACCTGATTGTTCGCATACTTGGATTAGAGAAGCATGCTCTTGGCCACCTGGAGGATGTGGAAACACCCCCAGCCCCACTGAGAGATAAGACTCTTATGGGGAATGGTCCAATTACAAAATGGGCTGATTGGCTTTGGTTTGCCTTGCAATGAAACGCAGGGTAGCAGCACTGCACTGTCTTCTCCTGTAGTAGTTCCCTCCTTTTGGGGATGGAGAACCCAGTTTAAAATGGCACCCTTAATTCTGGGGATCTGTCTTTGCCTTCAGCTGCTTATTTGCTGCTTACTTGGCCCTAGATATGCATGCTTTCCTGGCCCTGTTCCTCCAAGGGCTCCACCCTGAAGCCAGTAATCCAATTAAGAAACTGGCAAATGAAAATTTTACAAGTGTTAAATCTTCTCTCCAGGGCCGGGCATGGTGGCTCACACCTGTAATTCCAGCACTTTGGGAGACTGAGGCAGGAGGATCACGAGGTCAGGAGTTTGAGACTACCCTAGCCAATATAGTGAAACCCCGTCTCTCCTAAAAATACAAAAATTAGCCAGGTGTGGTGACGCACGTCTGTAATCCCAGCTACTCAGGAGGCTGACGCAGGAGAATCGCTTGAACCCGAGAGACGGAGGTTGCAGTGAGCCAAGATCATGCTATTGCACTCCAGCCTGGACAACAAGAGGAAAACTCCATCTCAAAGAAATAAAAAATAAATAAATAAATAAATTAGGAGAATTAAAAATTGTGGCTGGGCCAGGTGCAGTGGCTCACACCTGTAATCCCAGCACTGGTGGGGACTGAGGCAGGAGGATCACTTGAGCCTGGGCAACAACTGAGAACTTCTCTCTACAAAAAATTTCAAAAATGGACCTGGTGTGGTGTCATGTGCCTGTAGTCCTAGCTACTTGAGAGACTGAGGTGGGAAGATTGCTTGAGCCCAGGGTTTGGGGCTTCAGTTCACTAGAGATGATTGCATCCACCATTGCACTCTAGGCATGGCAACAAAGCAAGACCCCGCCCTCTAACTCAAAAAAAGTTGCAGTTAGACAAGAAGGATAAATGATAAGTATTTAAGGTGATGAATACAGTAATTAGCTTGATTCAATAATTACACACTGTATACATATAGTAACATCACTGTGTACCCCATAATTATATATGGTTATATAATTAAAATTTGTCAAAAAATAAAAATAAAATTTTAAAATTAAAAAAAGTTAAAGGTTGAAAGGAGGAAAACTACTTTTATGAAATCGAACAAAAATATGAAATGCCACCTAGACATTTACTTAACAAGAAATGTGCAAGATCTATATGAAGAAATGTTTTAAGTACTGAGAGTCACCAAAGAAAGCTTGAACAAAGGCTGAGATAAACCATGCCCTAGGCTAAGAAGTCTCATGTATTAGACTGTTCTTGCCTTGCTCTAAAGAAATACCTGAGACTGGCTAATTGATAAAGAAAAGACGTATAATTGGCTCACGGTCCTGCAGGCTGTACAGGAGGCATACTGCTGGCATCTGCTTAGCTTCTGGGGAAGCCTCAGGAAATTTACAATCATGACAGAAGTCAAAGGGGGAGCACACACACCATATGGCCAAAGCAGGAGCAAGAAAGTGTGAGGGGGAGGTGCCACACACTTTTAAATGACCAGACCTCATGAAAACTCAGGATCTCGAAGACAGTACCGAGGGGATGGTGTCAAACCATTTATCAGAACTCCTCCCCCATGATCCAATCATCTCTCACCAGGCCCCACCTCCAATATCGGGGATTACAATTCAACAGGAGATTTGGTAGGGACACAGATCCAAACCATATCAGCTCAGTCCCAGAAATCTGATATTTCTCCCCCAGTTAATCTAAATAGTTAACATAGTTGGGGGAGAAAAGGGAGAACTACACAGAATAATGTGAGAAAAGCCAGAAAACTCTGAAAAGGAAGTGTAAAGATGAAAAAGTAATCCCTGCAGATATTAAAATATTTTAGAAACTAGAGTTGGCGGCGGGGTGCGGTGGCTCACGCCTGTAACCCCAGCACTATGGAGGCCAAGGCAGGCGGATCACCTGAGGTCAGGAGTTCGAAACCAGCCTGGCCAAAATGAGAAAACCCTGTCTCTACTAAAAATACAAAAATTAGCTGGGTGTGGTGGCGCGTGCCTGTAATCCCAGCTACTCAGGGGCTGAGGCGGGACAAGTGTTTGAACCCGGGAGGTTGCAGTGAGCCAAGATCGTGCCACTGCACTCCAGTCTGAGGGACAGGGTGAGACGCTGTCTCAAAAAAAAAAAAAAAGAAAAGAAAAAAGAAAAAAAAGAAACCAGAGTTGGCTTTTGGAGGCAGGACAAGAAGGGCTTGCTCCTCGGCGGCCATTGTGTTTTTGTGCGCTCTTGGATGGGGTTATGTCCCACATTGTATTTGTTTATGTCTGGCCCCCAACTAGTCCATGGCCTCGGGTCCATGGGCCCCAGTATATTCATCTCTGCGTACCCAGTGCCCAGATTGCTTGACACACAAAGGGAGCTCAGGGAATGACGCAAGGAGCAACACCTGCATCGCACGACCTTCCTCCTCCCTCCGTGAAGGGACACGTGTGTGGGGCGAGCAGCGCAGCCAGGTCATGACCTTCCTCTCCCTCCCTGAAGGGACACGTGTGCGGGGAGGGCGGGGAGAGCAGCTCGTGGCCAGGTTGGCCGCACGTGATGCTAGCGTGCTCTTTACTCTCCAGGTTTCGGGTGTCTATGTTATACCTCCAAATGTTGAAATTATTCATATCAGTAAGGTTCTCCATTCACATTGCAAGTGTTCTGTTTGCTTTATGCGAAGGTGTTCTCCCATCAGCTCCCTTACCACTGCCATAACAAGAGCCAAGCTGCCGACATCCCTTCCCTGACAGAGGGTGCTTTTGTACTTCTCAGCTCCTGTCCAAGAGCCTCAGGATGATAGACAGCCTCCTCTGTTCTCCTGGAAACACCCCTCCACCTCCAAATCTGTCAGTCATGGTGCCTGGAACCACCCAGAGCCATCTGTTGTCCCTGTTAAAATAATCACGTTACTGGAAGTTTGGTTTCTTCTGAGGCCTCTCCCCTTTACTGGTAGATGGCCACCCTCTTGCTGTGTCCTCACATGCTCTTCCCTCAATATGTGTCTGTCCTAATCCACGCCTCTTATATGCACACTCACAGGGCACCCTACATACAGTTGCCTCCTTGTCCCGTCTCTTCCAGGGATCAGCACCATGCTTTGCAAATAGGTGCACAATCAATGCCTATCAGATTTATATGCACTAGTTAAAATGAACTTGATTCATTTTTCTTGATAATGTTAATTCAATCCTTATGAAAAATTATGTCCAAGAGGTATGCAAGGCACTTTGTAAACATCACCCTACTTAATTCTCTGAACTGGCTTTGTCAGAGGCATGCGAACCAGAACTACTCCATCTCGAATGGGCTGGGTAAAATGAGGCTGAGGCCTACTTGGCTGCATTCCTAGATGGTTAAGGCATTCTAAGTCACAGGATGAGATAGGAGGTCGGCACAAGATACAGGTCATAAAGACCTTGCTGATAAAACAGTTTGCAGTAAAGGAGCCGGCCAAATCCCACTAAACCCAAGATGGCTATGAGAGTGACCTCTGGTCGTCCTCACTGCTACACTCCCGCCGGCACCATGACAGTTTACAAATGCCATGGCAATGTCAGGAAGTTACCCTATATGGTCTAAAAAGGGGAGGCATGAATAATCCACCCCTTGTTTAGCATATAATCAAGAAATAACCGTAAAAATGGGCAACCCACAGCCCTCAGGGCTGCTCTGTCTATGGAGTAGCCATTCTTTTGTTCCTTTACTTTCCTAAAAAACTTGCTTTCACTTTACTCTATGGACTCACCCTGAATTATTTCTTGCGCGAGATCCAATAACCCTCACTTGGGGTCTGGACAGAGACCGCTTTCCTGTAACAGTTTTACTCACAACACATCTGACACCAAACCTGTGGGTTTTTTTCTTCTACACAGCAGGCACCAACTAGGTATCCTACAATTCAATTCTGACATGTCTACCTGGAGCTAGAGTGAAATCCCACAGGTTATGGGCTTGGTCCCACAAAACTGCCCCCACTTCATGGAAGTTCCAGGTTTGTTAACCAGCACTTTTGACTGACCAGCTATAAATTCAAGGGTTCCCACACACAATCCCTCTATCTCAGGTTTGGTAAATCAAGAGAATGGGCTCACAAAACTCAGGAAAGTGCTTTACTTCCTGTTACCAGTTTATTATTATAAACAGCACAACTCAGCAACAGCCAGATGAAAGACACAGACAGGACAAGGTATGCGAGGCAGAGTCAGCGCTTCCACACCTTCACCAGGCACAACACCCTCCCAGCACACGAATGTGCTCCTGAACCCAGCAGCTCTCCAAACCTTTTCTTTAGGTTTCTTATGGTTCCATTATTTAAGCATGAATGATCAAATCACTGGTCATTGGCGATTAAACTCAATCTCCAGCCCCTGTTCTTTCCCTGGAAGTCACGGACTGGAGCTGAAAGTTGCAAGGCAAAGTTGATTCCCCTGGCAACCAGCCCTCATCCTCCAGGAGTCACCTCATTAGCATAAACACAGGCATGGATGAAAGGGGCTCGTTAGGAATAACAAAAGATTTCCTCTTGCCCCTATCAGTCAGGGAATTCCAAGGGGTTTAGAAGCCTCCATCAGGAAACAGGGACAAAGACCAAATATCTAATTCTTATTATCACAGATCCTCACAGCCATCCTGTCTGGCGTGTACCGTTAACAACGTCCTCATTCTATCGATGATGTAACTGGTAGATAATAATCACCACATGAATTATAGCATTTTTTAAAATTATACTTTAAGTTCTAGGGTACGTGTGCACAACGTGCAGGTTTGTTACATATGTATACATAAACCATCATTCTGAGCAAACTATCGCAAGGACAGCATTTGTTATATATAAACAACAGTTCTGTAAATTATAGATCGTACTCTACATTGCAATATATATAATCACACATGTACTATGTATAAGGTATTATCATATAACCTAAAAGAAGTAGACATCAGTACTTGTTATTGCATTGTATATTATGTATACTAAATTATTTCTAAAATAACCCTGTGTGGTGAGAACTACTTGATCCTTATTTGATGAGTGAGGAAACAGTGCTAAGAGAAATTACATAACATGCACATACCCACTAGTATGTATGTCTCCTAAAGAAATTCGGATTCATGCTCACAGTGATACGTGTACAAGGGTCCTCAGTGAGGAACTGTTTGCAGCACCAAGAGAGTAAAAACTGCAAAGGGGGAATCATATCAGTGTAACCGCCCAGTGGCTTCACCTTGCTGCTGCCTGGACAGAGCCGATTTCTCAAGAGAGCGGAATTGCAATAGAGAAAGAGTAATTCACGCAGAGCCGACTGTGCAGGAGACAACAGTTTCATTATTACTCAAATCACTCTCCCTGAGCATTCGGGCAGCAGAGTTTTTAAGAACAACTTGGTGGGTGTGGGGAAGCCAGTGAGCCAGGCGTGCGACTGGTCAGAGCTGAAATCCTAGGGAGTCGGAGCTGTCCTCTTGTGCTTACTCTGCTTCTGGTGGGGACGCGGGACCGGCTGGCGAGTCCAAGTGCAGCCATCAGTTGTCAGAAGTGCAAAAGCCTGAAAACACATCTCAAAAGGCCATTCTCAGGTGCTACAGTAGCGATGTTCTTTGCAGGAGTAATTAGGCAAGTTGCAAATCTTGTGTCCTCTGGAATAATGGCCGGTAATTACGCTTACGGCTCAGTAGAATTCAGGCCCCTGTCATCCTCCTAACTTGGCGGCCTTTCATTAGTTTTACCAGGGCAGTTTAGTTTTGGGGAAGGGCTGTTATCATTTAAACCATAAACTAAATTTCTCCCGAACTTAGCGTGGCCTGTAACCACCCAGTGGGTTCACCTTGCTGGCTGCCTAGATGGAGCCGATTTATCATGACAGGAGAACTGCAGTAGAGAAAGAGTAATTCGCGCAGAGCCGGCTGTGCAGGAGCCTTGTTTTATTATTACTCAAATCAGTCTCCTCAAGCATTTGGAGATCAGAGGTTTTAAGGACAATTTGGTGGGTGAGGGGAAGCCAGTGTGTCAGGAGTGCTGATTGATTCGGTAGGACATTAAATCATAGGGAATTGAAGTTGTCTTCTTGCACTGAGTCAGTTCCTGGGTGGGGGCCACAAGATCACATGAGCCAGTTTATCCATCTGGGTGGTGCCAGCTGATCCATTAAGTGCAGGGTCTGTAAAACATCTCAAGCACTGAGCGGTTTAGGGAGGGTCACAATCTTAGAGCCTCCAGCTGCATGACTCCTAAACTATAATTTCTGATCTTGTGGCTAATTTGTTAATCCTACAAAGGCAGTCTAGTCCCCAGTCAGGAAGGATGTTTGTTTTGAGAAAGGGCTGTTATCGTCTTATCGTCTTTGTTTTAAACTATAAATTAAGTTCCTCCCAAAGTTAGTTCAGCCTACACCCAGGAATGAACAAGGACAGCTTGGAGGTTAGAAGCAAGATGGAGTTGGTTAGGTCAAGTCTCTTTTGCTGTCTCAGTTACGATTTTGCAATGGCAGTTTCAGGCCCATGCTTAGGAATGAGCTAAGAGAGCCAGCCTGTGAGGCTAAAAGCAACATGGAGTCAGCCATGTCAGGTTTCTCTGACTGTCTCAGTGATAATTTTGCAATGGTGGTTTCATCCGCACATCTACGCTGCATCTGACGTGTTGCTAAGTGAAGAAAGCTGTGTGCCACATACATGTATCTCCTCATCCAACTGAAATTTTTTAAAAATTGTTTTAATTTTTGTGCAGATAATACAGACATGTACCCCACCACACACAATGTAAACTGCAAAAGCAAAAAACCGAGATGCCTCGTCCACAGTTCAACCCTCTGCGAACAGAGCCATCCTGGATAAAAGGTATGCCTCCAAAATATCTAAATATAGATAAAGATATATCGAGAGGGAAATAATGATATATAAGCGCCCATTCACATTTGTGTGTGTGCGCCTGTGTATCAACAAATAACACACATGTACCGAAGTGTTATGGTTTATTTCCTTCTCACAACCAACTCTAAACAAAGCCATGATACTGCCCAAAGTCAGCAAGACGGAGGCCAACCAGCTGGCTGGCCTCCTTTAGGAGCTTCAAACTTTTCAATCCCAAATTCAATAGGAAGAAGGAAGAAGAAATAATGAGGAAGAGGGAGGAATACGGAGGCGGGGAGGGGGCAGAGGAGAAAGAAAAGGCAGAAACAGAAAAGAGGGAACAATGTCCCGTACCTTGCTTTGCTCCTGCAAAGTAAAGGCCACCTGAGGAGGGTCGGGGTGAATCCTTCACATGGGTGGACAGAAAAGCG
Organism: Homo sapiens; assembly: GCF_000001405.40. Taxonomy (NCBI): domain Eukaryota; kingdom Metazoa; phylum Chordata; class Mammalia; order Primates; family Hominidae; genus Homo; species Homo sapiens. The sequence goes on along the minus strand of NW_025791757.1, from coordinate 140,509 downwards.
AACACTTTCCACCAGAGGGCGCGGGAAAGGGGCCTCAGACTTGCTCGGCTGAAACCCAACCTTGTAAGAAAAAACAGAAAAGGCGCTCAGTGCTGGTCCCAGCACCCAGTGTGCGCTGGCTGCAGGCACCGGGTGGGCCTGAGCGGCTGCGGGGCTCGGTGCCCTGGGCTCGCACCGGGGGTTGGCGAGGGGCGCGGGGCGCGGGGCGCGGGGAAGCCTCTGCAGGGCTGGTCGCTTTCACACTCCCAGTAACATAGACTGGGGCGCTGGGGAAGCTGTTAAAGAAGCCAGGCTTCGAGATGTAACACGCCCCGATTCGTTTCATTTTTTCTTTTTTTTTTTTTTCTTTGAGACGGAGTCTCACCCGGTTGCCCAGGCTGGAGTGCAGTGGCGCGATCTCGGCTCACTGCAACCTTCGCCCCCGGGCTCAAGCGATTCTCCTGCCTCAGCTTCGGGAGTAGCTGGGATTACAGGCGCGCGCCACCACGCCCGGCTAAATATATATATATATATATTTTTTTTTTTTTTTTTTTTTTTTTTTTTTGAGATGGAGTCTCGCTATGTCGCCCAGGCTGGAGTGCAATGGCACTATCTCAGCTCACTGCAACCTCCGCCTCCTGGGTTCAAGCGATTCTCCTGCCTCAGCCTCCTGAGTAGCTGCGATTACAGGCACATGCCACCACACCCGGCTAATTTTTTTTGTATTTTTAGTAGAGATGGGGTTTCACCATGTGGGTCAGGCTGGTCTTGAACTCCTGACCTCGTGATCCGCCCACCTCGGCCTCCCAAAGTACTGGGATTATAGGCGTGAGCCACCACGCCCGGCCTAATTTTTGTATTTTTAGTAGAGACAGGGTTTCACCATTTTGGCCAGGCTGGTCTCGAACTCCTGACCTCAGGTGATTCGCCCGCCTAGGCTGGGATTACAGGCGTGAGCCACCGCGCCCGGCATATTTTTTTTGTACTGTCAGTAGAGATGGGGCTTCACCATGTTGCCCAGGCTGGTCTCAAACTCCTAAATTCGAGTGACCCGCCCGCCTCGCCCCCTGCAGTGCTGGATTACAGGCGTGAGCCTCAGTGCCCGGGTTTCCCATTCATTTTCTAGCTGGACACGGAAGGATGTGACCGAGACGCTGACGGCGTCCGTACTGTCCTCGGCGCCCTCTGGTGGTCACAGCCAAGTACAACTTGCGGAACAATTCAGCTCCAGCTAAATTTGGCAGTGCCAGGGATGGGTCTATCACTCTTCTGGGAGGAAAACGCATGACCTTGCAATTTGTTTTAAGAACGACCATAGTGGGCTGAGCGCAGCGGCTCACGCCTGTAATCCCAGCACTTTGGGAGGCCGAGGCGGGCGGATCACGAGGTTAGGAGTTTGAGACCAGCCTGGCCAACATGGTAAAACCCCGTCTCTACTAAAAATACAAAAATTAGCCGGGTGTGGTGGCGCGCGCCTGTAATCCCAGCTACTCGGGAGGCTGAGGCAGGAGCACTGCTTGAAGCCGGGAGGCGGAGGTTGCAGTCAGCTGAGATTGTGCCATTGTACTCCAGCTCTGGGCGACAAAAACGAACAAACAACAACAAACAAACAAACAAAACGACAGGAGCGACCGGATCACAGGCTCAGGCCTGCGATCTCAGTACTTTGGGAGGCCAAGGCGGGTGGATCACACGAGGCCAGGAACATGCGAATCGCTTGAACCCAGGAGGTGGGGGTTACAGTGAGCCAAGATCGCGCCACTGCACCCCAGCCTGGGCAACTAAGCGAGACCGTGTCTCAAAAAACAAACAAAAAAAAAACAGGGCCTGTGCCTCTCCACGGTCACCCTTTACTAAATGTGCATGTGCGTGTTCCCACTAGTCCCGGGAATGGACGCCACGTCTCCGCAGCACCTGCACGGCTGGAATACCGCAGAATTGTGACAGGCATTGGAACCAGAGCAATTCCATCTTGAACATGGGCTGGGTAAATTGAGGCTGAGACCTGGAAGGCTGCACTCCCAGACAGTTAAGGCTTTCTAAGTCACAGGATGAGATAGGGGGTAGGCACACGATACAGGTCATAAAGACCTTGCTAATAAAACAGGTTGCAGTAAAAAAGCCGGACAAATCCTACCAAAACCAAGATGGCCACGAGAGTGACCTCTGGTTGTCCTCCTTGCTACACTCCCGCCAGCGCCATGACAGTTTACAAACGCCATGGCAACCTCAGGAAGTCACCCGGTATGGTCCAAAAAGGGGAGACATGAATAATCCACCCCTCGTTTAGCATATCATCAAGAAATAATCATCAAAATGGGCAGGCAGCAGCCCTTGGGGCTGCTCTGTCTGTGGAGAAGCCAATCTTTATTCCTTTACTTTCTTGATAAACTTGCTTTCACTTTACAGAGTCACCCTAATTCTTTCTTGTGCGAGATCCAAAAACCCTCTCTTAGGGTCTGGATTGGGACCCCTTTCCAGTAACAGAAGCACAAATACGGTTTTGTCGCCCACATTCTAGGGCTTCTGGATGTGCAAATACGGCTTTTCCCCCCGCATTCTAGGGCTTCTGGATGTGCAAATACGGCTTTTTCCCCCGCATTCTAGGGCTTCTGGATGTGCATTCTGGGCAGGCCTTAGATTCCAGGGTTAGCCACTGCAGTGACTGCTCAAGATCACTCCTTGGCCCCAGGCCAGACAGGGTGCAGAGGATGACTGTCCCAGGATGGATCACCCCAGAATCCCCAGTAGCAGCACATTACTTGTAAAAAACATTCTTTTCAGGATTTGTCCCACTCGAGACACTTTAATTTTAGAATAGGCTACACGACTGCTAATGAGTAGTAAGAGCAGACACTGTGCTTGGAGCCATAATAAACCCTCCTCCACTGGGAGTGCATCTTCACTTTCCCATTCCTGGAGGTGAGAAGAGAGAGTAGCTGAGAACATTCTGAGTTATGTAAGGCATACAACATTTATTTATTTATTTATTTTGAGACAGAGTCTTGCTCTGTGACCTAGGCTGGAGCGCAGTGATGTAATCGAGGCTCTCTGCAGCCCCTGCCTCCCGGGTTCAAACAATTCCCCGGGAGGCATACAAAATTTATCAGGCTCAGAGAGACAGCAGTATGGGGGGGCGGGGGCAAGGCGGGGGCAGTTGTTTAAAGGCATTTTGTTCCTGACTAGCTGCATCACCTATTATCTCCATGTTGCTAGCGTTTGTGATACAAAGAAAAATGTATAGCTAACCAATAGCTTATGTTATTTTAATGTAAATTTTTTATAAACAGCTGAGGAACTGCCTCTTTCATCCTTTAAAAACTCACTTGCAACTGCTGCTAATTGGAGGATATATTCAGAGCAACTTGAATCTATCTCTCCCGGCTTACAGTCCTCAAACTTGGCCCAAATAAACTCCACTTATATTAATTTTGCCTCAGTTTCTTCTTTAATCAACAAAGGGAAGGGAAGTGCCTAAGGGAAGTGGGGCTGCCTAAGAATGCTCAAAGCAAGCCCACCACTGAGGTCTGGGCAGAGAGTGATACTTCAGGCTTTACTGCTCCTCTCAACCTGGGAAATTTTCCTTTTGTTTTGCATTAAAATACAGTGGGGGCAACCAAACTCCCTCGATGAAAAAACGGATAAGGACAATTTGAAAAACACAAATAACTGAATACTCATTCAGCTTTTAAAAGACGAAATTGGCCAGGCGCGGTGGCTCACACCTATAATCCCAGCACTTTGGGAGCCCAAGGCGGGTGGATCACAAGGTCAGGAGATCGAGACCATCCTGGCTAACACGGTGAAACCCCGTCTCTACTAAAAATACAAAAAATTAGCCGGGCGTGGTGGCGGGCGCCTGTAGTCCCAGGTACTCAGAGGTTGAGGCAGGAGAATGTCGTGAACCCGGGAGGCGGAGCTTGCAGTGAGCCGAGATCGCACCACTGCACTCCAGCCTGGGCGACAGAGCCAGACTCTGTCTCAAAAAAAAAAAATTCAAAATTTTGTTATATGGACAATAGGGATAAATCTTGAGGACACTATGCCAAGTGAAATAACCAAGTAACAAAAGAGATACTGGGCCAGGTACGGTGGCTCACACCTGTAATCCCAGCACTTTGGGAGGTCCAGGCAGAAGGATCACGAGATCAGGAGATGGAGACCATCCTGGCCAACATGGTGAAACCCCGTCTCTACTAAAAATACAAAAATTAGCTGGGCGTAATGGCGCATGCCTGCAGTCCCAGCTACTCAGAAGGCTGAGGCAGGAGAATCACTTGAACCAGGGAGTCGGAGGTTGCAGTGAGTGGAGATCGCGCCACTGCACTCTAGCCTGGCGACAAAGGGAGACTCCGTCTTAAAAAAAAAAAAAAAAAGCCAGTGGCACAGTAATCATTCTCCTACAATTACCCATGCTATGTGAGTTAAAATAAAATTTTGTATGCTTATCTCCCTGTTAATCTGCCTATTGTCAGTTGATTTTGCAGCAAAACTTCAGAGAGTGAAGCAGCTTTCTCTTGGCCCCTACAGATTTGGCGCTGTGAGCAGGATCACCAAAACTGTTTAGCTCTTCTGAAGCCAGGAGTCCAAGGAACCTGGGGCCTGACAGGCCAGCAGAAGGGGAAGAATTTGGGAGTAGTTAGATTCTTGGCATCTGTAAAAAGTAAAGTAGAGGTTCCTCTTCAAAGACTTTCCTCCCCATCTAATTAGGAATAAATAGTAACTTCTATTAGAAGCAAAATTTATTCAAAGACCTGTGCTAACATTCTTAAATATCTGCTAGCCGTAATAAAGAAATCAATGTTCTTTATGTTCTTAGCTCCCACAATTTAGCCTAAATATCTGCCCTGGCATGCTTATACTGGTCCAAGTAAGCATTAGGTCACAGCCTGTTCCTCTTCCTTATTTGAAGGTGTTTTTACCTTTCTCAGCATTCCACCAGTTACTTCCTCTTTCCTTTGTTCCCCTCTACCTTTGCCTCTTTTAAAAAGTTCTAAGTTGCTAGCCAATCGAGACAAATACAGAATGTGAGGTCCCGCTCCAGCCAGTGGAAACCAGACACAGCAGTAGGGAGGACGCGTCAGGTTATAAATGACCCTGTCTCCTTTGTTCAATGCACTCTCATGGCAAAACTGCTGATGAGTGTACCCTTTCTGCAAGAAGTAAAAATGGCCTTACTAAATAAATTAAATTCATGTTCAAGTGCTATTTCTTTACCGCACCAAGGAAGAAACATTTCAAACAGCATCTGTCTGTGCAATCCAATCAAGCAGACAGTAAAACTGTTTCCTTTTCCTTTTCCAAATTTAAGATAAATGGAAAGAAAGAATTTATTTATTTATTTAGAATCAGCTCTGTTGCCCAGGCTGGAGTGCAGCGGGACAGTCATGGCTCACTGCAGACTTAACCTCCTGGACTCGAGGGATCCTCCTGCCTCAGCTTCCTGTGTAGCTGGGACCATAGGTGCACTCCACCATTCCCTGCTAACTTTTTGATTTTTTTGTAGAGATGGAGTCTCAGTTGTTGAGGCTGGCCTCAAACTCCTGTGTTACTGGAAAGGGGTCCCAATCTAGACCCCAAGAGAGGGTTACTGGACCTCCCACAAGAAAGAATACAGGGCGAGTCCATAGAGTAAAGTAAAAGCAAGTTTATTAGGGAAGTAAAAGAAACAAAAGAATGGCTACTGCATAGGTACAGCCGTGGTGTGAGCTGCTCAACCGAGTATACCTACAGTTATTTCTTGATTGTATGCTAAACAAGGGGTGAATTATTCATGAGTTTTCCGGGAAAGAGGACTGGATTTCCAGGAACTGAGGGTTCCTCCCCACTTTCAGACCATATAGGGTAACTTCTGGATGTTGCCATGGTATTTGTAAACTGTGGTGGTGCTGGTGGGAGTGTCTTTTAACACGCTAATGCCTTATAATAAGTATCACATAATGAGCAGTGAGGATTACCAGAGGTCACTTTCATCAGCATCCTGGTTCTGGTGGGTTTTGGCCGGCTTCTTTACCACATCCTGCTTTATCAGTGGGGTTGTTGTGACCTGTATCTTGTGCTGACCTCCTAACTCATCCTGTGACTAAGAATGCCTAAGCTCCTGGGAGCCCAGCAGTTCTCAGCTTTTTTTTACCCAGCCCATCTTCAAGATGGAGTCCCTCTTGTTCAAATATATCTGACATCTGGACTCAAGGAATCCTCCTGCCTTGGCCTCCCAAAGTACTGGAATTACAGGGTGAGCCACTGCACCCAGCCAAGAAAAGCATTTATACAGGCTAATTTTAGACACACAAACGCTGGTTTATTTTTGGTATGACTATTTCATGTTGTCTGATCTTTTTCCTTTCAGAAACATTCTTTTTTTTCCTGTGTCTCTGTCTTGCTGTCATAAAGATTCCCTCTCATCTTGCTTAATATCTTTTATGTCAGGCTCTCAAGAGCCTGACTTGTGACCAAGTGGGGAGCACTCTTGCTTGGTCTCTACCAACCCGGGGAGTGGTTGGGGGAGTGGCATGACTTTTGGGACTTTTGGGTCATGTGTGTTGGTCAGTTGTATTAGTCCATTTTCACTCTGCTTACAAAGACATACCCAAGACTGGGAAGAAAAAGAGGTTTAATTGGACTTACAGTTCCACATGGGCTGGGGAAGCCTCAGAATCATGGCAAAGGGCAAAAGCCACTTCTTACATGGCAGCAGCAAGAGAAAATGAGGAAGAAGCAAAAGTAGAAACCCCTGATAAATCCATCAGATCTTGTGAGACTTATTCACTATCACGAGAATAGCATTGAAAAGACCAGCCCCCGTGATTCAATTACTTCCCCTTGGGTCCCTCCCACAACATGTGGGAAATCTGAGAGGTACAATTCAAGTTAAGATTTGGGTAGAGGCATGGCAAAACCATATCATTCCACCCCTGGTGGCTCCAAATCTCATGTCCTCACATTTCAAAACCAATCATGCCTTCCCAACAGTCCCCCAAAGTCTTAACTCATTTCAGCATTAACCCAAAAGTCCATAGTCCAAAGCCTCATCTGAGAAAAGGAAAGTCCCTTCCACCTATGAGCCTGTAAAATCAAAAGTCAACTGGTTACTTCCTAGATACAATGGGGGTACTGGTATTGGGTGAATACAGCCGTTCCAAATGGGGGAAATTGGCCAAAACAAAGGGGTTACAGGGCCCATTCAAGTCTGAAATCCAGCAAGGCAGTCAAATTTTAAAGCTCCCAAAATGATCTCCTTTGACTCCAGGTCTCACATCCAGGTCACACTACTGCAAGTGGTGGGTTCCCATGGTCTTGGGCAGCTCTGCCTCTGTGGCTTTGCAGGATACAGCCTCCCTCCCGGCTGCTTTCATAGGATGGTGTTGAGTGTCTGCAGCTTTTCCAGGTGCATGGTGGAAGGTGTTGGTGGATCTAGCATTCTGAGGTCTGGAGGATGGTAGCCCTTTTCTCACAGCTTCACTAGGTGGTGCCCCAGTAGGGACTCTGTGTGGGGGCTCCCACCCCACATTTCCCTTCTGCATTGCCCTAGCATAGGTTCTCCATCGGGGCCCCACCCCTGCAGCAAACTTCTGCCTGGGCATCCAGGCATTTCCATATGCCCTTTGAAATCTAGGCAGAGGTTCTCAAACCTCAATTCTTGACTTCTGTGCACCCACAGGCTCAACACCACATGGAAGCTGCCAAAGCTTGGGGCTTCCACCCTCTTCTACCCTCTGAAGCCACAGCCTGAGCTGTACATTGGTCTCTTTCAGCTGGGACACAGGGCACCAAGTCCCCAGGCTGCACACAGCCTGGAGACACTGGGCCTAGCCCACAAAACCACTTTTTCCTCTGGGCCTCCAGGCCTGTGATGGGAGGGGCTGCCATAAAGGTCTCTGACATGGCCTGGAGACATTTTCCCCATGGTCTTGGGGATTAACATTAGGCTCCTTGCTACTTACTTGCAAATTTCTGTAGCCAGCTTGAATTTCTCCCCAGAAAATGGGTTTTTCTTTTCTCTTACATTGTCAGGCCACGAATTTTCCAAACTTTCATGCTCTGTTTCCCTTTTAAAACTGAAGGCTTTTAGCAGCACCCAAGTCACCTCTGGAATGCTTTGCTGCTTAGAAATTTTTTCCATCAGATACCCTAAACCATCTCTCTCAAGTTCAAAGTTCCACAAATCTCTAGGGCAGGGGCAAAGTGCCTTCATTCTCTTTGCTAAAACATAACAAGAGTCAGCCAGACTCGGTGGCTCACGCCTGTAATCCCTGCACTTTGGGAGGCCAACGTGGGTGGATCACCTGAGGTCAGGAGTTTGAAAACAGCCTGGCTAACATGGCAAAACACAGTCTCTACTAAAAATAGAAAAATTAGCGGGGAATGGTGGCGCACACCTGTAATCCCAGGTACTCGGGAGGCAGAGGCAGGAGAATTGCTTGAACTTAGGAGGCGGAGGTTGCAGTGAGCCGAGATGGCACCACTGCACTCCAGTCTGGGCAACAGCCAGTTCCCAACAAGTTCCTCATCTCCATCTGAGACCACATCAGCCTAGACCTTATTGTTCATATCACTATCAGTACTTTCGTCAAAGCCATTCAACAAGTCTCTAGGTAGTTCCAAACTTTCCCACATTTTCCTGCTTCTTCTGAGCCCTCCAACCTCTGCCTGTTACCCAGTTCCAAAGTTGCTTCCACATTTTCAGGCATCTTTTCAGCAATGCCCCCCTCTACTGGTACCAATTTACTATATTAGTCTGTTTTCATGCTGCTTACAAAGACATACCCGAGACTGAGAAGAAAAAGAGATTTAATAGGACTTACAGTTCCGCATGGTTGGGGAGGCCTCAGAATCATGGCGGAGGGCGAAAGGCATGTCTTCCATGGCGGCGGCAAGAGAAAATGAGGAAGAAACAGAAGCAGAAACCCCTGATAAACCCATCAGATCCCATGAGACTTATTCACTATCATGAGAATAGCATGGGAAAGACCAGCCCCCTATGATTCAATTACCTCCCCCTGGGTCCCTCCCACAATACGTGGGAAATCTGGGGGATACAATTCAAGTGGAGATTTGGGTGGGGGCACAGCCAAACCACATCACCAGTCTAAAAAGACTGGGAACCCCCTGACAAGTAAGATACTAAGCAGCACACTCTGCTCTGAATGTGCCGAGCACTCAAGGTCATTTGTATTAAGTCCCATACATAAGGGACTTTTGTCATGGCAATGCTTGTTTGTCCCTGTTAGTCCTGGGAAAGTCCAATCACAGGAGTTATCACAGATTAACAGGTCTGTGGCTGGCAGCCTCTCACAAATTTGTGGGATACTTAAGGCACCCCATGAGTAAACACCATCCTTAGCTGTCTATGGCAGCAAGCCTCTTGCTAGCTTAGCCTATTTCTTTTTTGAGACAGAGTCTCGCTCTGTCACCAGGCTGGAGTGCAGTGGCATGATCTCGGCTCACTGCAACCTCTGCCTCCCAGGTTCAAGTGATTCTCCTGCCTCAATCTCCTAAGTAGCTGGGATTACAGGCATGCGCCACCACATCTGGCTAATTTTTTGTTATTTTCAGTAGAGATGGGGTTTCACCATGTTGGCCAGGCTGGTCTTGAACTCCTGACCTCAGGTGACCTACCTGCCTCAGCCTCCCAAAGTGCTAGGATACAGGTGTGAGCCACCAGGCCCGGCTATCTTAGCCTATTTCTGAGAATGTGTTTTTTGGGAAGGATCATAGGAGGGGGTGCATCTTCTGCACTCATTTTATTTTATTTATTTTATTTTATTTTTTGAGATAGAGTCTCGCTCTGTCTCCCAGGCTGGAGTGCAGTGGCATGATCTCGGCTCACTGTAAACTCCGCCTCCTGGGTTCACGCCATTCTCCTGCCTCAGCCTCCCGAGTAGCTGGGACTACAGGCGCCTGCCACCATGCCCAGCTGATTTTTTGTACTTTTAGTAGAGATGGGGTTTCACCATGTTAGCCAATATGGTCTCGATCTCCTGACCTTGTGATCCGCCTGCTTCGGCCTCCCAAATTGCTGGGATTACAGGCGTGAGCCACCGCACCCGGCCCATTCATTTTAAATACACCACAAACACCTATGCTCTTCTAAACCTGGAAAGCTACCTCCAGAACTTTCCATAAAAAAATGATTATTGGTTTGAGTCACTTATGGAATAAATAAATTGGCTGGAATCAACCTAGGTGCCCATCAACAGTGGATTGGATAAAATGTGGTACGTATACACTACGGAATACGACACAGCCATAAAAAGCAACAAAACTGTGTTCTTTGCAGCAATGTGGATGCAGCTGGAGGCCATTATCTTAAGTGAACTAACGCAGAAACAGAAAATCAAATACTGCATGTTCTCACATTTTTTTTCTTTTTTTTGAGACGGAGTTTCACTCTTGTTACCCAGGCTGGAGTACAATGGTGTGATCTCGGCTCACTGCAACCTCGGCCTCCCAGGTTCAAGTGATTCTCCTGCCTCAGCCTCCCAACTAGCTGGGACTACAGGCATGCGCCACTACGCCTGGCTAGTTTTGTATTTTTAGTAGAGACAAGGTTTCTCCATGTTGGTCAGGCTGGTCTTGAACTCCCAATCTCAGGTGATCCGCCTGCCTTTGCCTCCCAAAGTGCTGGGATTACAGGCGTGAGCCACCGCACCCGGCCACATTCTCACTTATAAGCGGAAGCTAAACGTTGGATACACATGGACATAAAGATGGAAACAATAGTCACTGGGACCTGCTAGAGCAGGGAGAGTAGGAAAGTAGGAGAGTGAGAGAGGGGAGAGGAGAAGGGGAGAGTGAGAGAGGGGGAGAGGAGAAGGGGAGAGAGAGAGAGGGGGAGAGGAGAAGGGGAGAGTGAGAGAGGGGAGAGGAGAAGGGGAGAGTGAGAGAGGGGAGAGGAGAAGGGGAGAGTGAGAGAGGGGGAGAGGAGAAGGGGAGAGAGAGAGAGGGGGAGAGGAGAAGGGGAGAGGTGGAGGGAGAGGGGGACAAGAGTTGAAAAAGTACCTATCGGGTACTATCCTCACTACCTGGGTGAAAGGATGCTTTGCACCCCAAACCTCAGCATCATGCAATATACCCATGTAACAAATCCACACATGTATCCCCTGAATCTAAAATAAAAGTTGAAATTTTGAAAAAACATAATAAATAAGTTAAAAAGTTATATTTTAAAAGAAAACTTTTTAGAGAGCTCTTGTCTCTTTTTTTTTTTTTTTTGAGACAAGGTCTCACTCTGTCGCCCAGGCTGGACTGCAGTGGCGCAATCTCTGCTCACTGCAACTTCAGCCTCCCGGGTTCAAGCAATTCTCCTGCCTCAGCCTCCCCAGTGGCTGAGATTACAGGTGCGCACCACTATGCCCAGGTAATTTTTTTTTTTTTTTTTTTGTATTTTTAGTGGAGACAGGGTTTCACCATCTTGGCTAGCTGGCCTCGAACTGCTGACCTCAGGTGATCCATCTGCCTCAGCCTCCCAAAGTGCTGGGATTACAGATGTGAGCCACCGCGCCCGGCCACTAAGAGCTCTTGTCTTAAACAGCTTTCTTATTGGTACCTATGAAAAGACACAAAAGGAATATATAGCCTTAGAAACTCCCTTAGCAGGATTTCTTTTTTTAAGGCAGAAATCAGATTTACAACTAAGTTATAAATCCTTTGTGTAGCTGGATTCACTGATTTATGCCTGTAATCCCAACACTTCGGGAGGTCAAGGAAGGCTTGCTTGAGCCTAGGAGTTTGAGAACAGACTGGGCAACATAGGGAGATCCCATCTCTACAAAATAAATAAACAAATAAATGAGTCAGGCATCGTGACACACGCCTGTGGTCCCAGCTACTCAGCCAGGGGTAGGCAGGAGGACTGCTTGAGCCTAGGAGGTTGAGGCTGCAGTAAACCATGAGCACACCACACTGCACGCCAGCCTGGGTGACAGAACGAGACTTTGTCTCAAACAAATATATATATATGATATAAAAAATATATATTTCTAACATGTATATGTTATATATGTATAATATATATCACATATAATATATATGTCACATATATAATATATATATCACATATATAATATATATGTCACATATATAATATATATGTCACATATATATATATATATATATATATATATATATATATATATATATATAGTGCGCCCAAGCTGCCTGTTTTGGATCCCCCTGGGATTTACAAAGAAGACGGGCCACCCTAATCTAGGGCCTGGGTTCCATGCTTTCACCACCACAGCCTGGATTTGATTCCCAGTCAGGAAACCAGACTCTTGGAAATGCAAATCTTTTAACTCAGGACAAAACAAATAGAAACATTTGTAAAAAGTTAGTTTGGTATTTGCATAACTCTGACCTTTTGGGGTACCCTTTCACTTTGCAATCCTGTCTATTCCCACAGACAGCTTTTGACTTCCCATCTTACAAACTGCCATGCAATCTTCCGTCTGTGGGAGATACGGGTTGTCAGGCCTTTGTGTGCAGTCAGCCAGCTGAGAGGCTGAAACCCTAGATAATATGGCCAGACAGTAGCCCCATTTGCAGCTACTAAAATTCTCCTTTATTTGAGCTGCCTGGAGTGGTCTGGATCTGAGCAGGGTTGCAACTTTTGCCTCCTCTCTGGAGACCTTGGTGAAAGCCGTGAAAGGCTTCTTGGTTCTGGTCTCCTTGGTGCTTATTTCACTTGGCGTTGAGTCATTTGTTCAGGTATACCTTTGATAGAAAACTGGTTTGTATTTAGAGTGTGATAGCAACTTTTTTCTTTTGTCTCGCTTCCTCCCGTGGGCAGAAGAGACGTGTGTCTCCCACCACTGCTGGGAAGCTGAAGAGAGGCAGGGCTCCTCCCATGAGCAGAGCGGGTGGGAGCGCTCCACAGCCGAAATTCTTTCCACTCCAGTGTTAGGCCACGTGCTCATGAAACAGAAAGCTTGCTGCTTGTGTATTTTCAACACACCCTTCTGCTTTTTCTTTTTTCTTTTAGTTTTTGGGGGATTTTTCCCTGGCAGATATATAGAGCAATGCTTTTTCTCTTTGGATCCTGTTCCTACCCTGGGAATTCTTTTCAGTCAACTGAAATTTTGTTAAAAAGCAATTTTATGTTCCTTCCATCTGTTCACTTTTTTGTTGTTGTTGTTGTCGGCATGATTTTTACTGAGAAAAATGTAAAACATCCTTGGCCTTTTTGGGAAGTTTAAAATCTTCCCAAATTGAGCCCTCTAAGAATTGTTTTCCCATTTACTGTTGGCCCTTCTTCCTTTCTGCCACCTTCAATAACACACGAAGAAATCAAGAGGGAACTTCTAGCAGTCCTGAGACCCCTTGAGAAACCAGAAAAAGGTGCCATACACCCTCCTTTTGGGGGTCTTTTGTCTTCCTCACGGAGCCCCAAGGGTCATGGGCAGGTTACTCTCAAGTCTAAAGCGCCGCAGTCTTTTGCATTGAGTTCCCTGATATTTTCATTTTTTTGAGACACAGTCTGTCTCTGTCACCTAGGCAGGGGTGCAGTGGTGCATTTGTGAGAAACACACTCACCCATCCAAACCCAAAGAATGGACTTAGAGGCACAAAGAACAGCGAAAGGGAGACTTTTCATAACGGTCTTGCGAGATCGGGTGTCTGGTGAGCAGGCACAACCAGGGCGGTCACAACGGGTAATTTATGTCCTAGCACACAAGTCCCTCCCCCAGTTCCTCACTGGTTGAGTACTGTGGGGTTACAATCTTCCCGGACATCGCCTAACTTTCATTATCCCCCTTACAAAGTTATACCCCGTCCTCTTCCCCACTTAAGTTTTGATTTCCCCATAACAAAACTTTCTTCCCTTTTATGAGCTGACCACACCTCTACATTCTGTCCACTTACTGTGACCTTCTGGGTGCATGAGCCATGTGGTTTCTTACATTTGCAGGCTGGCTGCCAGTGCTTAGACTTATCATGCCTTGCAAATGGACCATTTAAAAGGTTTTCTCACCAATTCCCTCCTCTTTTCTATTTACTTATTTTGTTCTCATTTTCTTTTAAACCCTTTTGGGCCGTGAATCGCTCCAGAAGTTGTTTACTTTCTTCCTCATAGGAGAGTGAGTTTAATTTGCTTTCTAATAGTGGCAGGTTATTTTGCTGGTAAGTCATGGGCATTTGTTTATTAATAGCTGTTTTAATTAATTTCTGTGCTAGTCCCCTCACACAAGGGATAATACAACATTCCACTGCTATTAAGAATCCTGCCACAATTATGAGAGATATAAGGATTGAAGCTACCATTCCTTTCCATTTTCCAAATCAGCCTTCTAGCCAACCCGTAAATGGGTCATTAATTCCGAGCATTTCTTCCAGTTCGTTGGCTAGAGTTGTTAGTCCTTGTAAAGCTTTTGTGATGGTCCCATTTGGGGCAGTATTGCTGGGAATGAAAGTACAAAATTTCCCGCCCAGCATAACACACACGCTCCCTTTTTCTCTAGTATCATGTCTAGCGCAAGTCTGTTTTCCCAGGCCATTTAGCTGGTGGCATCTAACTGGCTAGCCACCCTTTGAGGGCATCCCAAGTATAATTGATGAATTCCTGTTGATTATAATAGATGGAGTTAATTTAATTCGCATTCTTCTTAATAGTTGACCAGCAGAAGTGTCCTGACTTTAAACCCAGCACCTACTGCGTTTCAGGCCTTCAATTTATTAGGCAACCCTACCCCCACCAGGGTCTCCTATTGAGTCAACATACACATTGGGATTAAAAGAATTTGTGAAATCTCTCTGGTTTCAGTGGCCATGTGTATTTTGGGGTATCTTATGGGATGCCAGGGTGAAGGGAATGGCCAATGAGACTAAAGCACAAGTCCTGGTCCCATTGGACAGTAACAGGTTACGTAGGTTCCTTTTCCCATAATACTACCAGACATCAGCCCGGGGTGTATGGAGAGCTGAGTAATTGCCATTGCTCAACTCACCAGTGACGTTTAGGATGTGGGTACAAGTTGAGAGTTCTCCCATAGGCTTATGGAACTCTGCCCCCTGTCTAGAGAGGCAAGAGGAGTAGTTCATGTTCTCTGCAGAGAACGAGGGTATTGCTCTGGGATCTGAGCTCCGCAATGCAGGAAACAGCAATGAAAGACTCTTACAAGTCTTACTTCTCCTTACTTATATCATTGTGCTGGTATGCAGCCAACATGCAACACATTCCTCTAGAATCACTATTCCATCCCAGGGGAAACGGAACCACCTGCGCCTGAGGTGGTCCTGCAGCACACGCGTAGCAGTTACTTTTGCTGAGGGCTTGTACCGAAAATATGACCCATTTGACCCAGGCATTCACATCCCTATACCCTGTCTCAATTTCTAAGGTTTGCCTTAAATCCTTTACCTCAATTATTGTTACCATTTTAGGGTTAATATTTGGTAGACTAAAGTGTTTATTAGGGTCTGGGGTTGGAGTAGTTCCAGGCAAATGGGAGGTTGAGTTCTTGATTAGCCTGAGATCAAATCGACCTGGGGGTCTTTCCTTGTGATGTCTTCTCCTAACCCATATACCTGAGATGCTACTTTTGGTTCTTGGTCTAGAAAGGCTGAATTGTCAAGGGTGATGAGTATAGGATGGCATTCTAAATTCTGGCAGTTATTTGGTGGGGAGCGCTTGGACAGAGGTAGTTTATGCTTCAAGGGTTTCCAGTTTGGAGTTACCCACACCATGTTTACTGTCCAACCCTGAAATTGGGTAGCGCACCATACATCCTCCCAGCTGGGGAAGGGTGATGCCCTACTGCAACCTGCATCTGGTTCAAGGCAAAGAGATTTATCTGCCTGCGAGAGCTGTCTCTGATTTTCTAAATTCCCACAAGGTAAAACCTGACAGGCATCAAATCTTATAGTTTGGGGTGCTACCGTCTTAATCATATTAATCACCAACCTGATTGAGCAGTGGGGAGTCCCCTGCCAGTTTCCATTTTGACCTTCTGCTCTTTGTATACTAACCCATCCCAGCCTTATTACCTTTCAGAAATGCAGCCAGCCCACGCTTTCTTTCTAAATTTTTCTCAGAGTTAACTTTAAGTGTTCGTCAGGTGACCCATGCACTTCCCACTGTTCTTTCTCCTTCCCTTTCCAGGTCTCTTTTACCGGCCTCTTGATTCCAGTGTAGTGAGTCCACCCCCATTCAGCTGTTCGCAGGGCTGTCTCAGGGGCAGAGGCACTTGACAGGGACCTTCCCAGCTTGGGTGGAGCTTGTCTTCTTTCCAAATCTTAGTCAGCACCAAGTTGCCAGGCTGGAAGTAGTGAACCATGAACTCAAGAGGCAGAGCTTGCGTCAGAAGACCTTTTAACCTGAGGGATGACAGGGTGGAAGATATGGCCAGTATATCATTTCTTAAGAATTGGTTTTTGGTTTCCATAGTGGGAGGATCTGTAGCCCTGCCCAAATATGGGAGTCCATATAATAACTTGTAGGGGACAATCCCAAGTCTTTTCTGGGGACTGTCCGAATCCTAATCCTAAAGCCATGGGAGATATTTGGTCCAAGGCACTTTAGTTTCTAAGTTTAGTTTGGTGAGATGCTTTTTGAGAGTTTGGTTTATTCTTTTTACCTTTCCACAGGATGCCAAGGGGTGGGATAATCCCATCAAATTTGTAAACCTTCCATAATTCCCCTTAACACTCTTGAAATAGCTTCCTTTCTAATCTCGTGCGGTTCAAAGAAATCACTTCTCTTTTAACAAAGGGTAGCCTGAAAGTTCAGGCTATAAACTACAGATAAACAACTTAAGCATAGAAGGAGGCGGGGGATGTCTCCTGGGTAAACACCAAACTTCACACTCCCACAGTCGGGCCCAGTATAAACAGTGGGCCTTAATAAGCACATTCCTTTCCCTTTAGGCACATTAAGATAGGGAAGCTAAAGCTGACTGGGATGGGGGGGCGGTGGGAGATGCCTGCAGCTGCAAAAAGATGGCTGGGAATAGACACAGAATCTCTCCCTCCCAGATAAGCAACACAAAGAATTAGAGTATTGGCCAGGCACAGGCTCAAGCGTGTAATCCCAGTACTTTGGGAGGCTGAGGCGGGTGGATTACCTGAGGTCAGGAGTTCCAGACCAGCCTGGCCAATGTGGTGAAAGCCCATCTCTACTAAAACTACAAAAAGAAATTTGCTGGGTGTGGTGGCACGCACCCAGCTACTCAGGAGGCTGAGGCAGAAGAATTGCTTGAACCCGGGAGGTGGAGGGTGCAGTGAGCTGAGATCATGCCATTGCACTCCAGCCTGGATGACAAGAGTGAAACTCCATCTCAAAAAAAAAAGTATTATATGGTGACATGCAGGGTTCTAACAGTCCATTTTTAATTAATCCCTCTATTACTGGTTGGAGATCTTTTCTCCCTTCAACAGAAATGGGATATTGTTTTCTGCAAACTCCTCCTGGTTGTTTTAGTCCAATCTGTAAGGCTGTGATTCTTAAGTGTCCCCGCTTGCCTTTCCCAAACCACAAAACGGGACTAATTTTTCTTCCCTCCTCCTCTGTTAGGAGGCCCATCCTTACTTTCATTTGTCCTTTCTGTGTATCCCTAATCCTAAACTGAATCTCACAATCAGGTCTCTACCCACTAGGTTAGTTCCTGCTTCAGGAATATATAAGAGTGACCCCTCAATGTGTTCTGGTCCCAGTCTAATTAACATTGTCTTGAATATCAGAACCTGTAATCCCTCCCCTTTTACGCCTAATACTTTCAGTTTTTCCTTAGAGAGTTCTGTACCCTTTGGTTTGTGGATTAGGGAGGAGTGAGCTGCCCCAGTGTCAACCAAAAATGTCACTTCTTCTCCCTAAGGTCCCGCCTTCCAATTTATCAAGGGTTCTTGGTGGGACCTACTCAGAAGGAAGCCCTGACCCCCATTGTATTCATCAACGGTCATGAGGGGGATCATCTCTTCTTCTTTTTTCCATTGAGGACATTCTCTCTTAAGATGCCCTGGCTTTCCACACTTGTAACATCTAGCCACTCATAGTCTTAGGAGGTTTCCCCTGCATTTCCTTTCTTTCTCTGTGTCGAAATCTATCATTCCCTTGTCTCATTTGAGGGGGATCTTGAGCTAATCTTTTTTTGGCTACCTCTTCCACAGTGGAAATCATGATGTTCCCTTTCTGTTTCTGCTTCTCTTCCCCTCTTTTCACAAAGACCTTCTGAGCTTCACTCAGTAATTCCTCAATCGGTTTCTCATTCCATCCATCAATCTTTTGTAATTTTTTTTTTTGTAATGTCAAGCCAGCTTTTAGTAACAAAGTTAATCTGCAACAGGCCTTGCCCTACTGGGTCCTCCGGATCTAATCTGGAGTATTTTCTCATCTCTGAGCCTCTGCAGGAATGTGAAGGGAGTTTTCTCTTTTTCTTGTTGAATCTCAAATGCCTTTGAGACATTTTGTGTCCTAGGAGTGTACTCTTTGATCCCTTGAATTACTAGTTTCCTGAGGTCCTGCATTTGGGCCCAGTCCCTGGGATCATTATTATCCCATTCGGGATCAACATTTGGAAATTTTTGTTTGGCTGGCAAGTCTCACTGCCCAGGAGGGTGTTGCTTCTCCCCACTGGTCATGGCCACTCTCCTAATCATTCCCCTTTCTTCTCCCGTGAACAGGATATTCATGATAGACATCATTTCAGCCCAAGTGTAAAAGCTGGGTCCTAGGAATTGGTCCAGCTGGTCTGCTAAACCCAGGGGATCTTCTAGGAGTGGTTTCATTTCCTTCTTGCAATTCCTAACTTCAGTACTTGCAAGAGGAGTGTTTACAAAGCCAATCTCTCCCTGTCCCATGGGAACTTCCCTAAGAGGGAACATGCTAGATGCCTGCTGTGTGGAAGGGATAGGGAAGTTCTCAATATCCCTCTTACACTCTTGTAATTCTTTTCTTAAATTTGGATAAGGATTTAAAGGAGCAGTTGGCTTGGCTCCCCTGTAGTCTCTGGGTCTTTCTTCCTCTAACCCTCCTGCTGCCCCTTGATCTTCCTGTCCCCTTTTTTGTGAGACGTATGAAGGGGCAAGCACGATAGGGGGTCCCAGGGCTTTTCACTGGGTGAGGGCTCTTCACCAGGCTCTTTTTCTTCTTTTTTGAGGGGGATCATGGGGGCTAATTCCTTGATTCAGCAGAGAGTAACCTATCTCTTCTTGTGAGGATGAAGTTTTATTATTCACAGAGAGAATTAAAGCTTAGAACACAATCCTCATCTGAGCCAAACTTAGGCCAAAAGACAGAAGGCTTATGAATGGGGTCTTTGGGCCAGACAAAACAGCAATACTTTATCATCTTTTCCTTTTCCTTGTCCCTGGTTCGAGGGTTGTTCCACCAAACCTGCAACAATCTCCCCAAAGGACTATCCAGGGGAATGTCAGACGGAGTCTCTTTGGCTCCCTCTTTCCTTTGGCTCCCAGGCCTAGAATTCCTGTTTCCCATTTTCTGCCAGTCTCTGCGTCTGAGTTTTTCCCTGTCTACTCAACCCCCCTTACTGGAGGTTTCTTGCACACCCCGAGACCTCCAAAAATGCCCCATGACCAAGGCAGTACTTACAGTCCAATTTTCCTTCCTTGGCTGGTGCATGAGTTTGCCTGGTTCCCGCAGTGCCTGCTTTTCTCCCTGTGTTGCTTCTGCTGCCTCCTGAATAATAGTCTTGGGTTTGTTTATGCCTTCTATGGGAAGCTGGGATGCCCAGATAGAGCGGGCCACCTAAATCAGGTGGGACACATCTCCCCTCTCGGCCAAAGTCCCACTTCACACAGGCACATGGATCCCAGATGGGCCCCCATGCTTGTGAGAAACACACTCACCTGTCCAAATCCAGAGAATGGACTTAGAGGCCTGAAGAACAGTGAAAAGGAGACATTTAGTAACGGTCTTGCAAGATCAGGTGTCTGGTGGGCAGGCACAACTGGGGCAGTCACAACAGGTAATTTATCTTCTAGCACACAAGTCCCTCCGCTAGTTCTTCATTGGTCGAGTACTATGGGGTTACGATCTTCCCGGATGTCATCTAAGTTTCATTGTCCTCCTTGTAAGGTTATACCCCAGTCTCCTTCCCTGCTTAAGTTTCTTCTTTCTTTTTCTTTTCTTTTCTTTTTCTTTTGAGACAGAATCTCACTCTGTCACCCCGGCTGGAGTGCAATGGCACAATCTTGGCAAACTGTAACCTCTGCCTCCTGGGTTCAAGCAATTCTCCTGCCTCAGCCTCCTGAGTAGCTGGGATTGCAGGCGCTTGCCACTACACCTGGCTAATTTTTGTATTTTTAGTAGAGATGGGGTTTCACCATGTTGGCCAGGCTAGTCTCGAACTCCTGACCTCAGGTGATCCACCTGCCTCAGCCTTCCGAGATGCTGGGATTACAGGTGTGAGCCACTGCGCCCAGCTCCCACTTAAGTTTTGATTTCCCTATAACGAAACTTTCTTCCCTTTTATGGACTGACCCCTTCTCTACATTCTGTTTGCTTATTGTGACCTTCTGGGTGCATGAGCCATGTGGTTTGTTACATTTACAGACTGGCTGCCAGTGCTTAGATTTATCAGGCCTTGAAAATGGACCAGTGAAAATGTTTTCTCACACAATTGAAGCAGGATATTTCCTTGACCCTTTTGTGGGCAGAAACCGGGGCGCACGGGTGCTAGAACCAGCCAGCTGCTTTGGCACCAGCAGAGGCAAACTCCATTCACTACTGCTCCACTCCTCGGAGAGGGAGCACCAGTGAGTAGGTGCAGAAGCCTGAGTGAGTGCTTTTGGGTGCTGGCAAAAGCGAACTGCATACCGGCCCCACAGCAGCATTTAGGGGAGAGTGCCCACAATCCCTCAAGCCCCAGAAGAAGTGTTACAGTGCCCTTTTAGCTTTGCCGTCCATGGCCAGCTTCAGTGTTAACAGCTCAGTGGAGGGTCAGTGTGACAGCCTTTTGCACTCACACTCATGGCACCTGAGTTCTTGCCTGGTGTCCAGGAGGAATCAGGTCACATGAATGAAAAGATGGTAAATGTGGGGGATTTTATTGCCAATGAAAGTGGCTCTCAGTGGCAAAGGGAGCTGAAAAGGGGATGGAGCAGGAAGGTAATCTTCCCTTGAAGTCTGGCCATCCCCAGCTGGACTCCTCTCTAAAGCTATGCTGTCAAGCTGTCCCTCTGAAGTCAAGCCACTTCTCAATCATATCCAACCACAGTCTGCGAAGTCCAGCTGCCTCCCCTCTCTCTGCCAGTTGAGCCTGGGGTTTTTATGGGCACGGGATGGGGGACAGAGCAGGCCACAGGTGGTTTTGGAAAAGGCACCATTTGAATGGGAAAACAGGGATGTAAGTTCTCACTTTGGGCGGCAGTATCAGGCTTTTCAGATTGAAGGTGGGGCCTTGGCTGGGGAACTGCCCTCCCAGAATTTCTCTGCCTTCTGTTCCTATGACGATCATGGCTCACTACAGCCTCAAACTCCCAGGCTCAGGTGATCCTCCCACCTCAGCCTCCCAATTAGCTGGGACAACAGGCGCACATCACCACACACCTTGCTAATTTTTTTGTACCCATGGGTTTTCACCATGTTGCCCTGGCTGTTCTTAAACTCCTGGGCTCAAGTGATCCTCCTGCCTCAGCCTCCCAAAGTGCTGGGATTATAGGCATGAGTCACTGCACCCGGTCTGAGTTTCCTGATATTTTTTGGCTTTTATGGGTACCAGGAGTATTTTGTATTGTAAGAGCACATTACCTTCGGGTGTGTTACGGCTGGTGAGTCACTGGCAAGTGTAATCTTGGAGGTGGCAGACTACAGTTGTGGCAAATGGTTACTACTATAGGGGAGTACTCATTTCTTTGAACATTTAGATAAGAAATGTGAAGTTTGGAAACTTGGAGACTGTAGGAACACTTAATACTGGAAAAAAAGATACCCATGAGAGATGGGCTGATCACACAGTGGGCTGACTGGCACTGGGCCATCCACCAGCCCAGGGGGAATACCTTTGCAGCAAGGTGCATGGTGGAAGTGTTGCTCAGCCTGGCCCATGACATTTCCCTCTTGGGCTTTTAACACAGCTCTGAGACACCCAGGACTCCATGTAAAAACAGGGTCTTTGATTTCTGAGGATCTGGGTGTTCTGCCTTCCAGCTGTGCTTGCTTTTCAAATACATAAGTATTAGGCCCTGAAAACTGCAAATGCTTTGTTGGCCCTATTCATTAATGGGCTCTGCACTGAGCTCAGTGGTGCAGCTGGAAAATGAAGACCAAATTGGAAACCACCCATTTGGAAATGGGAGTTCAGCTCCGTCTGAAATGGGGGAGGGATACAATGATTAAGGGAACCCATTTCTAATAGGTACTACATTGAAAACTACCTAAAATTGGTCTCCTTATATGCTCTTGTAAATTCCTATGATTCTGTGTTAACCTTGGCATCCATTTTTAACCTCCCTTTACCTAACACACACAAATTTCTTCTTAAAAATGTTTAAATTTGGCCAGGTGCAGTGGCTCATATCTGTAATCCCAGCACTATGAGAGGCCAAGGCAGGTGGATCACTTAAGGTCAGGAATTCAAGACCAGTCTGACCAACATGGCAAAACCCCGTCTCTACTAGAAATACAAAAATTAGGCCAAGCATGGTGGCTCATGCCTGTAATCCCAGCACTTTGGGAGGCTGAGGCGGGCAGATCACAAGGTCAGGAGATCGAGACCATCCTGGCTGACACAGTGAAACCCTGTCTCTACTAAAAATACAAAAAAAAAAATTAGCCGGCTGTGGTGGCACACGCCTGTAATCCCAGCTACTCGGGAGGCTGAGGCAGAAGAATTGCTTGAACCCAGGAGGCAGAGGTTGCAGTGAGCCGAGATCGCGCCATTGCACTCCAACCTGGGCAACAGCGTGAGATTCTGCCTCAAAAAAAACACAAAAACAAAAACAAAAATTAGCCAGGTGTGGTTGCAGGCGCCTGTAATCCCAGCTACTTGGGAGGTTGAAGCAGGAGAATCGCTTGAACCTGGGAGGTAGAAGTTGCAGTGAGCTGAGATCACTCCAGTGCACTTCAGCCTGGGTGACAGAGTAAGAGTCTGTCTCACCAAAAAAAAAAAAAAAAAAAAAAAAAGCTTAAATTCTCTCTCTCTGCTTTGAGGTGTAGATTTGCTGCCCTATATTCTCTACAACTCAGCTATGTGGGACAGATTAACTTGTTCCATTTACAGGGCCACAGTTTTAATCCAACTGTCCTTTCATTTATTTTTATTATTATTTTTTTCTTTAGAAACAGAGTCTCAGTCTGTCGCCCACACTGGAGTGCAGTGGTGCAATCACACCTCACTGCAACCTCCAACTTCTGGGCTGAAGTGACCCCACCCACCTCAGCCTCCCAAGCAACTGGGAATGCAGGCACACACAATCACACCCAGCTATTTTTTTTTTTTTTTTTAATTTTTTGGTAGAGATGAGGTCTGGCTACTTTGCCCAGGCTGGTCTCAAACTTCAGGCCACAAGCAATCCTCCTGTCTTGGCCTCTTCAAGAGTTGATGTATTAGTCATTTTCACATAGCTGATAAAGACATACCTAAAACTGGGTAAATTATAAAGAAAAAGAGGCTTAATGGACTCACAGTTCCACATGTCTGAGGAGGCTTCACAATCATGGTGGAAGGCAAAAGGCACATCTTACATGGCAGCAGGCAACAGAGAGAAAGAGAGCCAAGTAAAAGGGGTTTCCCTTTACAAAACCATCAGATCTCATGAGACTTATTCACTACCACGAGAATGGTCTGGGGGAAAACGCCCCCATGATTCAGTTATCTCCCACCAGGTCCCTCCCACAACACGTGGGAATTATGGGAGCTACAATTCAACATCAGATTTGGGTGGGGACACAGCCAAACCATATCAGTTGGATTACAGGTGTGAGCCACTACTCCTGGCCCCAAATGTCCTTTTAAATTAGTGAGTTTTTTCAGTCTCATGGCTAAAATTTTATTTTATTTTTGAGACAGGGTCTCACTCTGTCACCCAGGCTGGAGTGCAGTGGTGTAATCATGGCTCACTGCAGCCTCAACCTCCTGGGCTCAAGTGATCCTCCCACCTCAGCCTCCCAAGTAGCTGGGACTACAGGTGGGTGCCACCATGCCTGGCTAATTCTTAAATTTTTTTGTAGAGACAGGGTCTCACTGTGTGGCCCAAGCTGGTCTAGAACTCCTGGGCTCAAGTGATCCTACAGCTTTGGCCTCTCAAAGTGCTGGGATTACAGGTGTGAGCCACCACACCCAGCCTCTGCTAGATGTTTCAAAGTCATAAAACAGTTGTTTTGTGACATTTTGAATACTTGCTTGATTTGTCCGTGAGCTTATGTCTCTGGTGTTGAGCCTTTAGATTCTGGGGTCCAGACAGGTGGCCGTGGTGAGGCTTGGATTTAGTTTGGGGATCCACCAGGGGTAGATCTGATGAGATCTTGAGGCCGGGAGTTGAACACCAGCCAGGGCTTAGGTTTTATGGACACACAAGGCTTTGCATTGTGGACTTGCTCTGAATTCTTTCTTGCCTGAGATCTAAGAACCGTCTCTGGGAGCCTGGATTGGGACCCCTTTCCTGTAACAGATCTACCTCCTACTGGGTCCCCAAACCAGAACTATTCCTAGAGAAGGATGTCTCCTTTCCTCAAAAAAGAGAGCCCATAAAACTGTTGGAGGTAAGGGCTGTGCTAAAGCAAGCAGTGGTTTCTGATGGGCGGAGCCTCCCCTCACGCTTCCTGCTGGCAGATGTGAAAAGCCCTCCTTCAGAAATACGTCTATGAGTTATTTCCCAGATAAGAGCAATACACTCGGCCGAGCGCGGTGGCTCATGCCTGTAATCCCAGCACTTTGGGAGGCCGAGGCAGGTGGATCACAAGGTCAGGAGTTCGAGACCAACCTGGCCAATATGGTGAAACCCCATCTCTACTAAAAATACAAAAATTAGCTGGGCGCGGTGGTGGGTGCCTGTAGTCCCAGCTACTAGGGAGGCTGAGGCAGAAGAATCACTTGAACCCGGGAGGCGGAGATTGCAGTGAGCCGAGATCATGCCACTGTACTCCAGCCTGGGTGACAGAGTGAGACTACATCTCAAAAAAAAAAAAAAAAAAAAAAAAGCAATACACTCTCACATCTAATCTCCACCAGCCTCTTTCACTAAAAAATATCTGTGGAGACCCACCATGTTGAATAAAACATGCAGAACTCATAGGGTGAAAAACAACGGTGCAAGACCTGTTGAGAAGGGGGGGATTTCTTTCCAAGTTCAGAGGGGATGGATCGGAACGTTTTTGTCCAAGAGAGGTAACTGCCTATTTATTCTCTTCTCAAATGGAGTGGTATTTACTGGACGGGCCCCAGAAGCTGGGCCCATAACAATCCAGAGAAACTGAACTCCGAATGCTTCAAAAAGCCCTCAGTAGGAAAGACACTGGGAATCAGCGACTTTTCTGGAAAAGAGAAAAAGGGATTCCTCTTCCAAATTCACTGGAACCTGGTGAGGAGCCGTGGTTAAAGGTCACTGAGAGCTGAGCCCCAGAAGCCACTCGCCCTCAAGCGGTGATGAACTTTTCATTTGTGAATTTGGTGCAGCAGGTCCAAGAGGTTCTCTCTGGCTTATTCATTTAATTTCTGACACAAACAAAGCACTGGAACAACTGAGGGGTGAATACGGCAATTTCCCTTTAAAGGAGGTCCACTAGGAAAATTATTTACTGTAAAAATTTTTAAGAGCAACTTTCCTCCCTAGAAATGGGAAGACTGCGGTTCTGGTTAGTCCCGATTTGAATGATCTGCACAGTAATGTGGAGATAAACGTTCACCCCTAGGCCTCTTCCATTCATTTATGCCGGGAATTGGGTGAGACCCCAGCTGCACCCCTGCAAGGGAGCCAGGGCTGCAGGTCTTCCTGGGCCAAAGCTGCTGAGCGGGTGATCGGGGAGCCGGCGTCCGCTGCGGCCCAGCCTGGCGGAGAGGAGCTTGCGAGACTCAACCCCACCTCCCAAATTTCTGCGCGGATGCGCGCAGGGCGTGGCGAGATGAGCTCAGCGCCCCAGAGCCCGCCGGGCTCCAGGCCCACCTTGGAGACCCCCGCTCCAGCCGCCTGCCCCTCCTCTCCACTTCCCTGTAAGCACCAGGTGTAGGGCAGCTGCCTGCCCCGGAAAGCTGCTTGCACTTACTGGGGATGGGGAGGTGGGGGCCGGGGAGGGGAACCGTGCGAAGCCAGGGGACCCCTGGAGAGGGTTGGGGAGGAGTGGTGCTGGAGAGCATGGAGGTCTGACCCGAACATCGAGAAGGCTCTGGAATTCTAGACAGTCTTGCACCAGTCCCTGGTAGAAAGAGACCGAAACTGGGAGTGGTTGGGGCCCAGAAATTCTTCCAGCGCTTTAGGTCCTTCCTCTTTCCTGGCCTTGGTTTCAACTCAATTAGATAATACGATACTGGATAATTTCTGAGGACTTATCAGAGTCCCCAGAATTCTCAGAATTTGCTGATAGGAGCAGTTACATAGGAGCGGGGGGGGGGGGGGGCGGGACTTTTAGAAGAAATTATGTTAAGTAGACTGATGATGGTGAGACACAGGTTTTTGAAAGTGACACGAAGGATGGAAGTAAATTCTAATTCAACACACAATAAATGAGCATGCAAAGTAACTTTTTGTTTTTGTCTTTTGAGACACGGTCTCGCTCTATTGTCCAGGCTGGAATAGAGTGGTGCGGTCTCAGCTCACTGCAACCTCTGCCTCCCAGGTTCAAGTGATTCTCATGCCTCAGCCTCCCAAGTAGCTGGGACCATATGCCACACCACCACGCCAGGATAAAATTTTTTATTTTTGTTTTGTAGAGACGGGGTCTCCCTATATTGTCCAGGCTGGTCTGGAACTCATGAGCTCAACTGATCCTCCCACATAGGCCTCCCAAAATGCCGGGATTACAGGTGTGAGCCACCACGCCCGGTCCAAACATATGAATCTGGGGGGACATAACTGGAATGAATGTTTATGTCCCCCTAGATTCCTATGTGGAGATCTTAACCTCCATTGTGATGGCATTAGGAGGTGGGGCTTTGGGAGGTGATTAGGTCATGAAGATGGAACACCATAAATGGAATTAGTGCCCTTATAAAAGAGACCCCAGAGAGCTCTACCCACCCCCACCATAGAAAGATAGCCCTCTATGAACCAGGGAGGGGATCTCCACCATTTGATTATACCAGCACCTTGATTTTAGACGTCTAAGCCTCCAGAAATAAATGTTTGTTCATGTCACCCAGTCTGTGGTACAGGTTGAGTATCCCTTATCCGAAATGCTTGGGAGCAGTGGCGTTTTGGATTTTGGATTTTTTTAAATTTTGGAATATTTACAAATACATAATGAGATATCTTGAAGATGGGAACCAAGCCTAAACATAAAATTCATTTTTCTTTCTTTAAAAAAAGAAAAGCCAGTGTCTTGCTCTGTGGCCCAGCTGGAGTGCAGTGGTGGGGTCATAGCTCGCCGCAGTCTCAAACTTGGGCTCAGCCAGGTGCCATTGCACCCTTTTTAAAAATGTTTATTGATACAGCCTCCCTATGTTTCCCAGACTGATCTCAAACTCCTGGCCTCAAGCAATCCTCCTGCCTTAGCCTCCCAAAGTGCTGGGATTATAGGCATGAGCCACCACACCTGGCTCATTTATGTTTTATATACATCTTGTAGTTATAACCCAAAGCTACTGTTGTACAATATTTTAAAGAACAGGATATAACCATCACAAGGTCAAGTGTGCACTTTTCCACCTGCGGCGTCATCTTTTCTTGTCACTTGGCCAGTGAACCACAGACCTGCACCTCTCTCCTGGCCTTGGGGCTACAGTTTGTCCTTCTCAAATAGGCTAACTGAACCCTGCTACCTGTTAAGATGCCCTTAGCCTGATGAGAACCTTTCACTAACACCTTTGTTGTCTTTTTTGTTTGTTTTCAGAGACAGGATTTTGCACTATTGCCCAGGCTAGATGCAGTGGTGTAATCATAGCTCACTGCAGCCTTGACTTCCTGAGTTTAAACAATCCTTTCAAGGCCAGACGCAGTGGCTCATGTCTGTAATCCCAGTACTTTGGGAGGCTGAGGCAGGCGAATCACTTGAGGTCAGGAGTTCGAAACTAGCCTGGCCAACCTGGTGAAATCCCATCTCTACTAAAAATACAAAAATTAGCCGGGCATGGTGAGCACACCTGTAGTCCCAGCTACTCAGGAGGCTGAGGCAGGAGAATTGCTTGAGCTCGGGAAGCAGAGGTTGCAGTGAGCCGAGATGGTGCCACTACACTCCAGCCTGGGTGATGGAGCAAGACTCTGTCTCAAGAAAAAAAAAAATCATCTGAAGTAGCTGGGAATCTAGGTGTGAGCCACCATGCCTACTTAATTATTTGTTTTTTGTAGAGATGGTGCCTTTGCTGGTCTTTAACTCCTGGGCTCAAATGATCTGCCCACCTTAGCCTCCCAAAGTGCTGGGATTACAGGCATGAGCCACCATGCCTGGCCCACTTTGTTGCTTGAAAGACCCATTATAACATGTGACAGTGTTGATGAAAAAATGATGATACTACTGATTAAAGAACAGTTAGGCAGACTTTATTCAGGTGGCCAATGGAGATAAGTATAGGGACCACCACAGCAGTGTTTTACAGTGGGGAAGAGAGATTGGGCTCAACTCTGAACACAAGTAAAGGTGGAAATTTATAGCCAAGGAGCAGGGTGGGGGTCAGCAGAAAATTACTAAGAAGAAACACCATGGGCATGGGGATTCTGGCTGAACGGACCTAACAGGACTCTTGCTGAAGGCAGGCCATGGTGATCAGACTTTACCCGGGGGATGATGGAGGACAAGGAACCTGATCAGATATCACGGTGATCAGATACCACATCACCAGAGGCATGATGGAGGATGAGGAACTCAATCAGATATCAAGGGTGATCAGTATCAACGGTGCAGGATTCTGGCTAAACTGACTTAGCAGGATTAGACAATGTGCAGAGATAAACACAGAAGCCCAAAAATCAGGGCTTGAGAAGAGTTCAGGGAGCATGAGTAGAGTTTGGTCGAGAAAATCTTTGTCAATAGCAGTCCTGCTTTTTTTTTTTTCTTTTTTTTTTGATACAAAGTTTCCCTCTTGTTGCCCAGGCTGGAGTACAGTGGTGCGATCTCGGCTCACTGCAACCTCCGTCTCCCAGGTTCAAAGGATTCTCCTGTCTCAGCCTCCCAAGTCGCTGGGATTACAGACCTCTGACACCACGCCCAACTAATTTTCTGTATTTTTAGTAGAGACGGTGCTTCACCATGTTGGCCAGGCTGGTTTCCAACTCCTGACCTCAGGTGATCCACATGCCTCCCAAAGTGCTGGGATTACAGGTGGGAGCCATGACACCCGGCCTAGTCCTGCCTTCTTCTAACAGAATACAGCAGGAATTATCAGAGCATGTGCCTTTCTTGGGGATGCAGGCAAAAAATCATAAACTCCAGCCTGCAGAGTAAAAACCAAATTCTTCAGCATGGTGTACCGGGGGGCCTCCAGGTCTTATTGCCAAGTCTGTCACACAGTTCCCTCCAAATAGTGTTTTCAGGAGGCTTGGCCAGGCGCGGTGGCTGGCGCCTGTCATCTCAGCACTTTGGGAGGTCAAGGTGGGCAGATTGCTTGAGGCCAGGAGTTTCTGAGACCAGCCTGGCCAACACGGCAAAACCCCATCTCTACTAAAATTACAAAAATTAGCCGGGCATGGTGGTGCATGCCTGTAATTCCAGCTACTTGGGAGGCTGAGGAATGAGAGTTGCTTGCACCCGGGAGGCAGAGGTTGCAATGAGCTGATCGCACCACTCCACTCCAGCCTGGGCGACAGAGTGAGGCTCTGTCTCAAAAAAAAAAAAAAAAAACAGGCCCCACCTTTGTGTAGGTCTCCTGGATGCCCTTCCCTCTTTCTTTTAAGCTGGGGAATCCCCAATAAGCCTGAAACAAAACCTAAAAGATGCCCCCTTGGAGCCACCCCTGGCTGATGACAGGGCAGGGAAGTCCAGAGCTAATGTGGACCTGCTGATTGTCCTGCTAGTTCTTCTCCAAATGCACTGTGCCCTAGTCACCTGTAGGCTGCCCCTCCTGGCTGTGAACACCTCTGTAGGGAATGAAGCTTCTTGTTCTTGGGGTTAAGATGATACCCCAAAATGAAAACCTCAGTAGCAGCCTCAGAAGCAAATTTTCTGACCTTCTCCTGCCTTCCTGTCTCTGGCCTCTCATTTTCCCGAGGCCAACAATAGAAACTAGAATTCTTCTCCAAAGTGAAACCAGAACCCCCTTTTCCCTAAAGCCAGCCATTATACCTAAAAATATTAATCTAACTTCCCCCAACCTTCTGTATAAAAACTGACCATAAATAAATAATCTGACCTACCTTTTTTGATGGTAGGTCATAAGAACCCCCCCCACCATTCCGTAGAGGGGCTGCCCCATAGCCAGAAGACATGCTGCACAGGAAAGCCAGGAAGAATCTAAGCAGATGCCCTGCTGGCTTTCCCCACTCAGCCTGTTAGCCTTAGATCATGCCCTTTTCCCCAATCATTTCTCTGCGTTGCTATCTACACTTTGTTGAACCTCAGCATAAAAATAGACAGTTTTCCGCTGGGTGCGGTGGCTCTCGCCTGTAATCCCAGCACTTTGGGAGGCTGAGGTGGGCCGATCACCAGGTCAGGAGTTCAAGACCAGTCTGACCAACATGGTGAGACCCCCATCTCTACTAAAAATACAAAAATTAGCTGGGTGTGGTGGCATGTGCCTGTAGTCCCAGCTACTCAGGAGGCTGAGGCAGGAGAATCGCTTGAACCCAGGAGGTAGAGGTTGCAGTGAGCTGAGATTGTGCCATTGCAATCCAGCCTGGGTGACAGAGCGAGACTCCATCTCAAAAAAAAAAAAAAAAAAATAGACAGTTTTCCCTGTGTCTCTGGGCCTTCATTCTGAAGGCCTCTGAGTCATTTAGAACTATGAGTCATTAGAACTACGATCGAACAAATCTGTATGCCTTTTCTCCTATTCATCTGAATTTTGTCAGTTGATTTTTCAGCAGATCTTCAGAGGGCAATTCCCTCGGCTGCTACGCTGTCTTGTTGGTGGGAGGGGGGACTCACCAGGGAGGCATTTTGCTCCTCTCCCCGGGAGGTGCCGCCCGCCTCGTTGCATTACTGTCAGTCTCACTTATTTCATCTTCCGATTGCACCCGTGGGGTTTCCAGGTCATCCAGAATAAGCCCCACTTGCTCACGCTTGAGTGAGGCTGCTGTCTGATTTGATACCCAGTAAATGCCAAGTTGAATTAACTCAGAGGGAAAGAAAGAAAGGCACTGAGATCTGTTGGCAATTATCTCGATATTCCATGAGACAACTCAACAAAAGGCAACCAGAATTCAAAAGAGCTGATGGATCGGAGTTGGAGGACATTGTCAATTTTAACCAGTGAGGTGTGGGAACTAAAAGGCAGGGGAAAAGCAGGTCATGGGGTGTGTGCCTGTAATCCCAGCTACTTGGGAAAATCACGTGGGCCTAGGAGTTCAAGATTGCCTGGGCAATGTGGCAAGACCTCGTTTCAAAAAAAGGAAAAAGTGGGCCAGGCACGGTGGCTCACGCCTGTAATCCCAGCACTTTGGGAGGCTGAGGTGGACGGATCACAAGGTCAGGAGTTTGAGACCAGCCTGGCCAGCATGGTGAAACCCCGTCTCTACTAAAAATACAAAAAATTAGCCGGGCGTGGTGGCAGGCACCTGTAGTCCCAGCTACTTGGGAGGCTGAGGCAGGAGAATGGTGTGAACCCGGGAGGTGGAGGTTGCAGTGAGCCTAGATCGCACCACTGCATTCCAACCTGGGCGACAGAGCTAGACTCCATCTCAAAAAAAAAAAAGTGTTGGTGGGTAAAGCTGAAGGTGACAAGCTTCAAGTCTCAGTGCAGGGTTTCAGCTTTACAAGACATTTAATGTGAACAGTCTGGTAACAATCATTATAAAACAAGCAGAAAAGTAGGATGGCAGCAAGTTTCCTAAGACTGTCAGTCAAGTCAGTGGGTGTCAGAGGAAACAAGCCTCTGTTGTGTTTCCCAGGGCTGCTGTCATGATTGCCATAAACTG
Organism: Homo sapiens; assembly: GCF_000001405.40. Classification (NCBI taxonomy): domain Eukaryota; kingdom Metazoa; phylum Chordata; class Mammalia; order Primates; family Hominidae; genus Homo; species Homo sapiens. Next base: position 108,418 of record NW_025791757.1, on the reverse strand, counting down.
AGTGGCCTGAAACAACAGAGTCAGAAATCAAGGCATCTGCAGGGCCATGCTGTCTCCGAAGGCTCGGAATATGGACCCCTCCTTGCCTCCTCCTAGACTCTGGTGAGTGACAGCCAATCCGTGGTGTTCCTGACCTGGTACACATCCCTCCAGTCTCCGTCTCTATCATCTCACATGGCCTTATAGGGACACCTGTCATTGGATGTTGGGCCTACTCTAACTCATGATGACCTTTATCCAGTATCATCTTAACTTGATTACATCTGCAAATATTCTATTTCCAAATTAAGTTCACATTTTCAGGAACCAAAAGTTAGGACATAAACCATGTTAGGGGACACAATTTTACCCATTACAAGACCCTCCCTGCCACCCCCATTTGCACATGCAGTGAACTGGGCCTGAAGGAACGGGGATGGAAGAAGACTGGCAAAATTAAAAAAAACGGTAGCTACAGAGTGCTAAGGAATTCCTGCTACAGATCATGCTATGCTTATAAGATTTAGTGGCCTGGCATGGTGGCTCACACCTGTAATTCCAAGACTTTGAGAGGCCGAGGTGAGAGGATGCCTTGAGCCCAAGAGTTCGAGACCAACCTGAGCAACATAGTGAGACCTCACCTCTACAAAAAATTTAAAAACTTAGCAGGGCATGGTGGCACATGCCTGTAGTCCCAGCTACTTGAGAGGCTGAGGTGGGAGGATTGCTTGAGTCCAGGATGTAGAGGCTACAATGAGCGGTGACTGTGCCGCTGTACTCCAGCCTAGGCAACAGAGATCCTGTCTCAGAGAAATAAATAAATAAAATAAAAGACTTAGAGAAAGTACTTGGAATGTTTGGAGATAGAGAGGAATTCAGAATACTTCATGTGGGAGCACAAATAACTGGCAGGTGGCGTCTGTATTAGGGTTCTTCAGAGAAACAGAACCAGCAGGATGCAGATTGAAACACATAAATGAAGACGGTATTCATTATGGAAACTGGCTTGGATGACTGTAGAGACTGAGAAGCCTCATATATGCAATCTGCAGGCTGGAGAAGCAGGGAAGCTATTGGTGTAACTCTCGGTCCGAGGCTGAAGGCCTAAGAAACTGGGGGGCCACTGTCAGAGTATGAAGCTGCAAGAACCTGGAGCCCCAGTGTCTAAGACCAGGAGAAGGTGGGTGCTCTAGCTCAAGAAGAAAAAAGAATTCCTCCTTCATCTGCCTTTTCACTCTCTCTGGGCATTCAACAGATTGGATAATGCCAGCCCACATCAGTGAGGGCAAATCTTCATTACTCAGTCTGATTCAAATGCCAGTCTCTTTGGGAAACACCCTCACAGACACACCTGGAGTTACTCTTTTACCAGCTATCTGGTCATCCCTTAGCCCAGTCAAGTTGACACCGAAAATTAATTATTACAGTGTTCAATGGCAGAAGGGCAGATTAAGATACACTAAAATGAGAAATGTCATACACTATAAAGTTTAAAAGTTTATATGCAGCTAATAGAGGAGGAAGAAGGATTGTGATGAGCAAGCACCTGCTAAGTATCTCTAACTCTGCGCTGGGTATTTAAGTGCCAGATTTTGTTCTATCCATTTGGGCCAGGTGTATCAACAGTTTATGAATGGAAAAATTAACCCATCATCTCCCACCACTTAAGCAACACAGATAGCAAGGGGGCAGAAATAGAATTGCCCTGTATGTGGGTCTGACAGAGGGAAAATACCCAGGGTAGGGACAGCATGGCTTAAACTGCACCTTAGTGAGCAGGCTGGAGAGAGATGCTGAGGTCAGGAAGAAGTCTGTGCTCTGAGCTGGAATCAGGACACATATCAGGGTGTGAGATCCAGGATGAGGTCTGTACTCTGGGCTGGAATCAGGACACATATCAGGGTGTGGGATCCAGGATGAGGTCTGTGCTATAAGGTAAAATCAGGACACACAACAGGGTCTGGGATCCAGGATGAGGCCTGTGCTCTGAGCTGGAATCAGGACACATAACAGGGTGTGGGATCCAGGATGAGGTCTATGCTCTGAGCTAGAATCAGGACACACATCAGGGTGTGGGATCCAGGATGAGGCCTGTGCTATAAGGTGAAATCAGGACACACAACAGAGTCTGGGATCCAGGATGAGGTCTCTGCTATGAGATGGAATCAGGACACACATCAGGGTGTGGGATCCGGGGTGAGGTATGTGCTGAGCTGGAATCAGGACACATAACAGGGTCTGGGATCCAGGATAAGGTCTGTGCTCTGAGCTGGAATCAGGACACACATCAGGGTGTGGGATCCAGGATGAGGTCTGTGCTATGCTATGAGGTGAAATCAAGATATAGGTTAGGGTTTCTAAGTGGGATTGCACAGAAAAAAATAAATCTAAGACACATTGAGGCTCCCAGACTTTTTATCAATTGGCAAATACTAGATGTGAGGAGAAAAATGTGGAGTTGTCAGAGGTGACTTGAATTTCAGAAAATGCTATGGAAAGAGTAAGGTGGCAGGAAGCTGAACAGAATTGATATTTACTTGTTTTGTTTGAGACAGGGTTTCACTCTGTTGCCCAGGCTGGAGTGCAGTGGCACAATCATAGCTCACCTCCTCGGCTCAAGTGATCTTCCTGCTTCAGCCTCCCAGGTAGCTGGAACTACAAGTATGTGCCACCTTGCCCAGCTAATTTTTAAATTTTTTGTGGAGATGGGTTCTTGCTATGTTGCCTAGGCTGGTCTCAAACTTCTGGACTCAAGTGATCCTCCTGCCTTGGTCTCTCAAAGTGCTGGGATTATAGGCATGTGTGAGCCACCACACCCAGCCAGATACTTTTTAAATTTTCCTAAGTGACATGGCATACAAGGAATAGCTGGACATAAAATTCCAGAACTGTGAGTAAGGATGTTTTCCCCCTTTACTAGATCGACCAAAACACTGTCCTACAATACCAGAGGAGTTTACTCTGGTATTTACTCACCCAAGAACCAATCACCCCATTTGAGGCCTGCAGCAAACCCTTCTTTTCTGGAAGGCAGAGTCCAAACACTACTCAGGGCTCCAACTTCCCGGGATGGTGGTGAGAATTAGGCAATACAATGCAGATAATATACCTAGCAAATGCTGAACATATTCCGTACAAAGTCTACTTCCCCATCCCTCCCTCATTCAGACACACACACATACCCCTGTAACACTGGGTCCCTGACCACTATCCTCTTTCTCTGAACATCAGTTTCCCTCCTGAAATTCCAAGGATGCTAGGATTCAATGCATTTAAGGAGCAGACAACAAAGACGATCACAAAGGATCAAACTCACATTCATGGAAACATCTGCGGAACTGTAACATCAAGGCGTTTCCCTCCTAAGAGCATCAAAACCTCTCCAGGCTGGGCGCGGTGGCTCACGCCTGTAATCCCAGCACTTTGGGAGGCCAAGGCAGGTGGATCACGAGGTCAGGAGTTCAAGACCAGCCTGACCAACATGGTGATACCTCGTCTCTACTAAAAATACAAAAATTAATCAGGCGTTGTGGTGGGCACCTGTAATCCCAGCTACTCAGGAGGCTGAGGCAGAAGAATCGCTTGAACCCAGGAGGCAGAGGTTGCAGTGAGCCGAGATGGCGCCACCGCACTCCAGCCTGGGGACAGAGCGAGACTCTCTCAAAACAACAACAACAACAGCAACAAAAACAAAAAAAAACCTCTCCAGGAGCGAATGTGAGAAAATCTACAAGATCTGTAAGGACTGAGAAAAGAGAACAGGCAGCCCTGCCTTTCATCAGGCTAAGAAGACAGACGAGTAACCCACTGTGCATTCACAGGACACGTGGTTTTCCCCAAGGTCTTGCCAAAGCTTCGAAACGCCACAACGCCCGCTTGACAGATGGACTCCTGCTTTCTAACCAAGAACGCCCTAGACCCACTTGCTGCACTCATTTATGACTGGGGGAACGCAACAACCAAGGCATCCTTGCCTCCTGACGGCCCATCACCCTCAGTGAACCCCTACTTCTTCTGAGCCCCCCTCTAAACAACAACCAGTGCAGATGCGACTCCCACTTCCCTGATACATTATCAATTATTAAAACTTCATACTTCCATGAGGCCTCAGTATCACACACAGGCTGTGAGTCCCCCAAGCAACTAGGCACACTGGTGTGATAAGCCTGGTCTCTGCCTCCAGGTCCCCTTCTTGCCTTCCCCCGACTGTGACCCAGCGACATTCCAATGCACCAGTAAAATCCCCTCATACCTTCTGCTTGTGTGCCCCACCCTGACCCCCCGACACAGGTACTTGCCCACGGGTTCTCTCTCTTTCTCGACCCCCCACCTGCACTGCAGAGCCTGGGCCCTTGGCTCTCATCCAACACGGCCCTGCACGCATGCGGTGCCTCCCTCTCCAGGACCTTGGAGCAGCATAAATCCTGTACTTTCATATCATTCTTGGACTGTAATTGCTGCAGCCACTTGGGAGTGATTCTTAAAGATCCCACAAGGGAGACTTACTCCCACACTTACATCACACCTGACATCATCCTCCTCCTCCCCTCCCCCTCTTCCTCCTTCTCCTCCTCCATCCGGAGCAAACCTCGCAAAAATACTTCTCCCATTATCAAGCCATATTCCAGCCTCCTCTGGGTGCCCTCCCCCGCTCACTGAATCAAGACGATAAATCTGGTCATTTCTGCAAATCTGAATTTGTCAAGGCACAAGCTTGTCCCTGATGGTCCAGCTGAATAAACATGAACAACCCAATGCTCAAGAATAGCTCCAAATACCAATGTTTGGGGTCTTTATTTTCTTGACTGTAGCATCCAACGCTGATTTCCAGGAAAAAGATGTCATCTCTTTAGTGACAACTTGGCCACTTAAAAGAGGTACTTTCACTGGAGCCCCTGAGAGTGGGTTATGTCAGCCTACCTGCAAATCTCAAAGTGTTTTTGCTTTCAAAAAAAGAAAAAATAAAATAGATGAACAGGCCTCTGTGACAGCTGGGAGGCCTCTATAGTGAGAAAATGTCATCATGCAAAGCTGTTTCACTGAGCAGCTTCTCACTGACCCCTTTCCACAGGCCACAATAAGGGACCAGATTAATGCCTTGCTGTCCATGCCCCCTAGATGTCTGTGACTAACACAGTAAGAACTAGCACTACTATTCCTAGGACTGTTCCTAAAGCCACAGTTTATTGAGTATCTACTATGCCCAGCTTACAACAGAGCTTCTCACATTGCAAAAAGCATGCAAGTCCCTGGTGCCTGGTTAGCCGCGCAAGCTGTGGTTGGGGCCTGTGGGTACTGACAGCTCCCAGAGAAGGCAGGTGTGGTTGGTCCAGTGATGGGGCTTCACATATTTGCACACCTGTATTTGTCATCAGTCTACAAGCATATTATGCGGAATGATGACCTCCTCTGCAGGGGGTGATGTCACAGTGGAACGGCTGCCCACCTGGGGGGCGATGTCACAGTGGAACGGCTGCCCACCTGCAAAGCACTGGGGCTTTAGGTTACACATCACATTTCCTTGTGCACACTTCACTTTCCAGGTTATATATAATTCACCCTTTCCTTTGTTATCGTCCATTCACCTTTCCACTCTGCAAGATGGCCGTCTCACGCCCTCTTCCTCCTGCTCTCACATTTCACCCTCTCTTTCTCCCTGTCACTTAAGGGCCCTGTGTAGCAGTCAGGGTTCTCCAGAGAAACGGAACAAATAGCATGTGGAGTGGGGGGAGGGAAGGGGGTGGGGATAGAGAGCTAGAGATCAATAGAGAGAGATGAGGGAGACTGTTTTCTTTTAAGGAACTGATTGGCTTGCAAGTCTAAAATCTGCAGGGCAGGCTGCAGATCCAGAAAGCCGAAGCTGCAGCAAGTCGGAAGGCGCGCCGCAGGGGGAGTTCCTTCCTCAGGAGACTGCAGTCTTTGCTCTTACGGCCTTCGACAGATTGGATGAAGCCCGCCCACGCTATGGAGGGTAACCCGCTGCATTCAAAGTCTACAGATTTAACTATTAATCATATCTAAAAAACAGCCTCACAGAAACACCAGACTGGTGTTTGAACAAAAACTGAGTACCACAGCTAGCCAAGTTGCCTCATAAAATAAAACGTCACACTTGCTCCTTATTTTACTGGAGTGTTGGCAAAGTTGGAAGAAGCCTGCCCCAGGCTCTCCCTGCCCAGATGCTGTGGACATGCCTCAGGTCCAGAGGCAGCCTTCCCTGCCCTCCGGCTCCCCGTGGGCCCTGGGTGCCAGCCCTCCCTCCTCCAGGCGATGCACTGCAATTTCTCCCATCTTTAAGATGAGACCGTTTTTCTCCACAGGGCTGTGTCCACTCTCATCTCCCTTCTCTTCCAGAAAGTGCCCTAGCCCAGGAGCTCCACTGTCTGCTTTGCTCAGGGGCCTCTCTACCAGATTCAATGGGCAGTGTTCTTTCCTCATCGGATTTGATCTTGGCGCAGGATTTATCCCCCTGACCTCTTTCTCTCCTTGAAACACAGGTGCTCACTTGGATTCCAGGGCTCCACACCTGCAATTTTCCTTTTATCTCAAGGCGGCAGCAGCTCTCCCTACCCCCTTCTCTTGCCCTCGTCCTCCCTCACTTTCCTCCTCCTACTTCCCCTTCTCTCCCTTCTCCTCCACTAACCCCTTGGGCTCCCACGGTCCAGGGCTGGCATTTCGCAGGGTCTGCCCTCCCTGGGGCTGCTTCTCAAAACACACTCAACCCTCTCAAGCCCCAGCTCCTGCTACATACGGTGACTCCAGATTTCCACCTCCAGCCACAGCTTTCTATCCCAGAGGGTCATCCCCACTTGTCTCCTGGGCATCTGAAAACCAGCAAGTCCCAAATCCACCAATTCAACCCCAAACCCAACCCCTTCCTGGAAACCTGCTTCCTTGCATCTGCCATCTCTAGAAGGCCTGTTCAGTCACCCAGTTTCAGCCCCAGTCACAGCCGTTCCTCACTCCTCTAACACAGGCAGCATGCCTTCAACACAGAGCCTGGATTGGGCCTACTGTTCACCAGCTGTGCCTCCACCAGTCAACTCCAGGAACCGAGCATCTCCTGCCGGGATCTCTACAACGATTCCTAACAGAGACTCTGCTTCATCTGTTCTGCACAGTGATCTTGATAAAATCAAGATTCCGTTAGGCCACACTCCTACTTGAAACCCTCTAATGACTATAACATCTGGTGACCTGGTTCCAGCCTCACCATTCTCTCACTATTCCTCTGCCCAGCTGAGCAAGCACACGCTGTTTCCTCTGCTGGAATACTCTTCCCACACACCTCTGCTCAGGAGCCCCCCACCTGCTCTCCACTCAAATGTCACCTCCTGACAGAGGCCCTACCTGAACATCCCCAGCACACTCTTCCCCACCATGTTGTATTTCTTTCATGACACCGATCACCAATGGCGTTATATTGCAGAATCGCTGATTTATTATTTGATTCCCCTCCCAACTCCTTGGATCATTCTTCTATGGTCTCCCCATGGATCGAATAATCATTGGCACATAGCAAACATTTCATAAAAACAGATACAATTGGCAACATTATATTCATACAAACCTAATACACGCACACACTGGGCATGATGATGGTGCAGTCCTTGAGCAGGGTTTACAGGCAGGATCCTCTTCCCGATGCTTCACCCGTGGTATCTGATACAACCCCACTTCATTCAGAGGCGAACACCTTCCCCACGGGCTCCTGTGCCCCCACCCAGCTCTATGCCATCCCTCTCCTCTCACTCACCAGCCCACCTTGCTTCGCACCGCTCCCCCTTAGGGCCTTTGCTGTCAAGGTGGTCTCCATGTGTCAAACAGGGACTCTGACCAACTACTTCATCTCAAATACCACCTTCACAGTAAGGCCTGCCTGCCCTCCTCTTTAATACCATGACTGTTACCAGCCCCTCCCCAGCACTCCTGACTTCCTGATGCCTCTCCACTTTCCTTTTTTTCTGTAGCACAGATCAAAGAGAGCAGGTCATGTTACTGATTTTGCTTCCTCCAATAGCCAGTTGTGTTCACAGATGTACCTGAGCACCTGGAAGGCTGGCTGCCTAGCACTCATGAGTGTACAGTAGGTACTCGGTATAGGTTTGCTGAATGACTGAATCTTTGATCCTGCACAACCATCCAATGAGGTAGACAGCATCATCCCTGTTTTCTGGATGAGGAAGTTGAGGTACAGAAAGGTTATGTAGGCCTGAGGTCACCTGGCTAGGAATTCATAGGGCAGGATTTAATCCGGGTGCCTGAGTCCAGAACCTTGACTCTGAAGCCCTGTTTTGAGCTAAATGCAGCAGCAGCATAAACAGCCCGTTTTGTGCCTCAAAAGGTGAACAGTGGGAGGCACAGCTGGGCAGGGACGTGTCAGGTCAGGGGAAGAAACTGAATTGGGTAGTGGGGATTAATTGGATGCTGTCTGCCAGCAATTTCTGCCTCCTGCATTTTATCTGCTTTAGGGTTGCAAGGGGCAGAGCTATGAACACGGATGCCCACTCAACAGCCAGTTCCTGGGCCAATCAAAGGGTTGGGAGCTGTAGCACCAGAGCTCTGGAACCCCACAGACTAGGATGTTTGCTAGAGCACCTAAGCCCTACCAGCCTTTGATGACCCCTCGGTTCCTCCCAATTCCTCTCCTCCATGTCACGGTTCCTGGCTGGTGTTCCTGAGAGTGGGCTGTACATGAGTTCTGTAAATGCCAGTCCAGTTACGTCAAAGGGGGTGGCTCTCACTTGTACCTGTAGGCTCCAGCTAAGATCTGCGTGGCCCTGCCCGGCATCTGGCTGTCATCCGGGAAACAATCACTGTTCACAAACAAGGGCTTCACTCCTTCGCTCGCTCCATCTCCTGCTAAAGTCAGAATGTGAACACTGACAAACAGCGGCTCCCAGTAACTCTGCTAGTCAGAAGTGATTATTCCAGCAGTTCAGAGGAGGAAGTGGCGGTGCCCAGGGCCACGGGATTAGAAGAGCAACGGAGCTAAAGGATCCCGTGCCTCAGTCCAACCACCTTGTTCCCACTTACTCAGCCGGGCCACTTTCTTTGGAGAAACTGATTTCCTTCTGCTTGCCCTTGAAAGGGGATCCGAAGGAAATCGGAGCTACCGGCAGTAGCTACCCTCCGGAAGACGGAGAATCTTCTCCACCTTCTCCTCTGCGTAGGAGAATCCAATTTCGGTGCAGAGCAGATGGCGAAGGGGCCATGGGAATCAGACCTGCTCAGGGACCGGGTTCGCACTTTCTCTCAAGCTCTGGAGCCTGAAAAATGAGCATTCCCCGGGGACGACCCATGTAAGAATTTGGGCTATATTCAGCATAGTGCAGCGGCCAGCAGCCCTGTCTCGGGGTGGGGTCCGGAGGCCCCCATTTCTGCTTGCCCCTCACTGCCACATAACCTTGGGTCAGAGTCCCTCATCCTCTCCCTCCGCCACTGTGCACAGCTGCAACCGTGTTCACTTCAGCGAGCAACGAGCCCCGTGACCCCCACTCAGGGTCAGGACTCACCGCAGCCCCTCTGCGCAAGCCCCGAGGCTCTGCGTGGCCTCCGGATGCGCGGCCTTTCCTAACCCGGGGACTCCGCACGTGGGCGCCAGGCCCGGAAGGCGCGGATGTGAGCGCTACCTTCGGCGTCCCGCAGCGGCAGGAGGGGCTGGGCGGCCCGGGCTTCGGCTGGCGGCGGGGGGGGGGTCGCAGGGGAGTCTGAAATGAGGCGGCCGACGGCGCGCGGGGCCTCCTCTCTCCGCTCCATCCCGCACCCCCAATTCCAGCTTCCATCCCCAGCCGCGACTCCCGGTCGGCCGTTCCGGGCGTCCACTGGCCGCGTGTCCTGGGGGCGCCAGAGAAGGAGAACAGCGGAGAAAAGAGCCCCGGGCCGACCTTCCGGACCGGCGGGCCCGCGGGGAAGCCCGGGCGCGGCGACGTGGCTGACCCACAAAGCCCCCGGCCCGGCGGCCAGGCCCAGGCGCGCGCGGAGCGGGGCGGGCCGGGGGTGTCGGATGTCACCCCCAGCGCACACCTCGGCCGGGGGGCGGGGGAGCGAACCACTGAGATGCGGAGACCTCCCCAGTCCTAGAGCGGAGCAGGAAGTGTCCCAGGGGAGGGAGCCGGAGGGCTCCGGCCTTTCCTTTCCTCGGCGTCCGGCGGGCTCCCGCGGCGGCCAGGCCTGCGCCGCCCGCCAACAGGGACGCGCCGCGGCGGTGAGTGCACCCCGGCTCCCGCGGCCGGCCCCGCCCCGCCCTCCTCGGCCCGCGCCCGGCCTCCGCGGCGCCGCCTCCCAGCCCAGAGCCCAGCGCTCAGGAAGGTGCGGGCGGGGGAGAAAGCAACACCATTGTTTTTCAGGCGCCTCCATTTGCCCCCGAGCCGAGCCGTGGCTTTCCGGATGATCGGGAGACGCGGTCTGGACGGGCCGGGAAAGGAGCCGGGCGCCTGCGGAGACCCCGCCTCAGCGAGTACGCCCGGCCGGGCGGGCTGGGAGGATGAGGACGGCTGCCCTGGACTTCCGCCGCCACAGGAGGGTTTTCGGCCGGACGCCGGGAGGGAGCTCCAGGCTGTGAGGTGAGGAGCCCGGAGCCGGCGAGACGGGAGACGCGCGTGTGAGGGAGACCGAGGGCGCGGAGGGCGGGCTCCCCCTTCCCTGGCCCACAGCGACCTTCTCCTTCCCTTTCTGCCGATCCAGCTCGGTCCCTCCTCCGCGAAAGGCTGGGAGCTCGCTCCGCCCCTGCGGGGCCCTCCTCCGCCTCACTCACGTTAGTTCATTCATCAGGCATCTCCTCCGAGCCTCCGACGCGCCAGGTGCCGCCGTGACAAAGACGGACGCGGCCGTCTGGTTGGAGACGATCCGAGTGGCAGCCCGGGTGGGCGCCGGTGCTCGGGGGGGCGGGCCTGAGTAGTCCTGGGCGCTGCAGGTGTGTGATGGGCGCCGCAGGGGGCCGCCGAGCAGGGCGGGCGGGGCCCACCCCGGGCTCCAGATGCCGGAGCCGCCCTGGAAGCGATCCGGTGGTGGGGAGCGCTGTAATGCGTCCAGCCCGACGCCGCCACGGCCCCCATATGGGTTTCTGTGTATGTTGTTACTTTGGAAAGCAAAGAGATTCAGAGCAGTGGGTGTTTCTGGAACCACTCAGTTGTTCCGTAGCTTTTCTGGCATCACTTGTCTTTCTGTGAAATGGGAGTGAGGCCCGAGTCCCCCTTCCCACCTTGTGAGCTGTTGGAGGTTAAGACGCGGCCACGCTGGACAACCTCGTGCAGATGGGGGAGTGGCAGGCACTGCCGGTCCTAAGGATCACAGAGGCCTGATGGCAGAGAAGGGGACTGTGAGTGTCCCCATGTGCCCTTTCACGGGCCCAGCGTTCTAAAGTGGGAATCATAAACACCAGGTATACTGGTTGCTGGTCTCTTGCCACCCTAGTTGTGGCAAAAGTGTCGGCTAGTTGTCTGCACACCAGCGGGGAGGTGTAGGGACCCCTGAGTCCCACCTTGGGGGTGTGGCAGCTGCAGTGTCCAGGGGTTCTTTGAGGGCTGAGCTGTGCAGTGACGGACCCACTTTTCTGTCCTGGCCGAGGAAGGGCTTTGGCGAGTGTGCAGTTGCCTTCAATGTGGTTTGAAGAGGGCAAGGATAGAGAATAGGGTGGAGGCGAGGTTGAAGGTCAGGGCAGAATTGGCAGAAGGCTCATAGGAAACCACTGATACTTCTAGATGCAGTGTTATTTGTCCCTGGTAGACTGCATGTAGCTGTCTCATGTGATGTTTTCCCTTGCCTCCCATTGCAGACTCTGCTGGGCAAAGCTGATTCTGGCTGGGTTGTCCATCCAGCACGCAGCACCATCAGCCCTCTGCCACCAGAAGGGTGGATTTTCCATTCCTGGATGTGCTTGAAGGCTCATCCGATGCATGTCTTTGTCATTCCAGCTCCATTTGTAAAGGTCTTAATAACAAGAACAGTGACTTCGGCTCCGGAGCTTCAAGATAGTGGCCTGCTTGGCCTGCCCATCTCGGATCTCTCCAGGAGGACCCAGCCACCCAAGGTACCAGAGCGTCTTGATTACATCTGCATGTGGCGCTGTTGGTTTCCTGGGATGCTCAAAACAGCAGTGTCACGTTGAAATGCCACCACTTTCTCCCAGATTTCCTGTCTTGTTCATCCAGTCACCCACTTAACGGGAATCCACACGTAATGGTACTGATGGGGGGAGGGCATCTTTCTGTCTGTTTCATCCTGTGTGTAAAGACCAGCCACACCAACACTCCCTACCTTTCCCAGGGCTTCTCCAAAGGGCTGGTCTCTGAGGGCATTGACAGTTTCCTTGTCACTGTCCCCCAGAAATGACCACAGGAGACCAGAACACTGAAGCCAGTGATTTCTGTTTGGAAATAGGGTCGTCTTCTGCTGCTGACCCCCATCAAATCCCATCATGCCCACAGCCCTGTGCCCCCGAGTCTTGGCTCCGAAGGAAAGTGAGGAGCCCAGGAAAATGAGGAGCCCACCTGGAGAGAACCCTAGCCCCCAGGGGGAGCTTCCCAGCCCCGAGTCCTCTCGGCGTCTCTTCCGCCGTTTCCGCTACCAGGAGGCGGCGGGCCCCCGGGAGGCCCTGCAGCGCCTCTGGGACCTGTGCGGGGGCTGGCTGCGGCCTGAGAGGCACACCAAGGAGCAGATTCTGGAGCTGCTGGTGCTGGAGCAGTTCCTGGCCATCCTGCCCCGGGAGATCCAGAGCTGGGTGCGGGCGCAGGAGCCTGAGAGCGGAGAGCAGGCTGTGGCCGCGGTGGAGGCACTGGAACGGGAGCCCGGGAGACCCTGGCAGTGGGTGAGTAGAAGAGGTGGGGCTGGGACGGGTAGAGATCTGGTACTTAGACACTTTGGCTGGGCCATGCATGTGCTGGCTGGGGAATGAGGAGTTCCATCGAGAGCCATTTACTTTGGTTAGGTCCAGACTAGAGTTTCCTAAGAAAGCCAGTTTTACTCCCTGAAGGCTCTAATTTGGGCATGATAGTGTCGTGCCCCTTTACAGCCCAGTCCAAGGCCTAAGTTGAGCCTTTGATGGTCAGCTGTGGAGTGGATGGTCACCAGGCCCAGGGAGAGATGGGACCTCTTCCCCTAGCCCTGAAAAGCTGTCTCTGGGATTGCAGCTCAAGCACTGTGAAGACCCTGTGGTGATTGATGATGGGGACAGCCCTCTGGACCAGGAGCAGGAGCAGCTGCCGGTAGAGCCCCACAGCGACCTTGCAAAGAACCAGGATGCCCAGCCCATAACCCTGGCACAGTGCCTGGGGCTCCCAAGCAGACCACCAAGCCAGCTCAGCGGGGACCCAGGTATGCAGCCCAGGGGAGTGTAGCAGGGGTGATCTGGGGAAGTGCACACCCCATACTGTGCACTGGGTGTGGTTTTTGTTAAGCTGATGGCTTTTACATCAGCAGTGTTCTCGTGTCCCCGAGGTGCTGTGAGCTGTTGTCAGGGTCTGAGTCCCTTCCTAGAGCAATTAAATGAGAACCTCATCAGGATGTTTGTCCTCTTCATGGTTCTAGAGCCTCTCAGAGCTAACGCTTCTGTAGGTGGGTGTCACTGAGGTGGTGCCCTCTCATCTCTTCGAGGGTGCATCTCTGCAGGATTTGTCAGTTTGATGACAGCTGGGGACTGCCAGTGTACAGCTGGGGCCTGCTGCATGACTGGAGCATGGCCATTTCTTGTCTCTTGGAACCTCTGTTTCCTTGGCTAAACAACTCCTGTTTACAGGAGTATTGTGATGCTGCGAAGAGATGTAGAAATACTTAGGAGGACACAGGGTGGTGTCTAGTGTGTGGGGCCAGAACATCAGCTACACATAGTTTGAGTATGTATATGAAGTACATGGTAGCTACAGGAAAGTAGTTTTTTCATCAGATAAACTTAGATTTGAATCTTCTGGTTATGACCTGAGGCATGTTTCTAAACTCTGAAAGCCTCAGTTTCTTCCTCTGTCCAGCAGAGATAGTAATTACCTTTTTTGGGGTTTTTGGACAATTAAATGAGATACAACCTACAAAAGGTTGAACACAAGGCCTGAGGTGCCCAAAACTTTAAGTACATATCATGGGAAACCAGCGCCCTTGGGTTGAAGGAAGTCTGGCCCGTGGGTTCCTCTGGGTGGACTTGCCACGGTGCTTTATATGTACAGTGGAAAGAGAGTGTCTGGGGGGCCAGGGGGGCTTTCTTATGACTCTGGGTGGACTTGCCATAGTGCTCTATAGGTACAATGGAAAGAGAGTGTCTGGGGGGCCAGGGGAGACTTTCTTATGACTTGCAGAAGTTGTGTTTGGCATTATGATAAGCTTTTCAGTAATAAAACCAAAATGCCTATTAAATTTCTGTGTGTGGAAAAACTATATTGACTTCTGTACAAATCACATAAACTCTTCAGCCTTTTCTTGCTTATAAATCAAGTTTGGTGTGTTGTTGGCTGCCATAACAAAGTACCACAGACTGGATGCCTTATGTAACAGAAATGTATTCTCTCACAGTTCAGGAGGCTGGAAGTCTGAAGTCAATGTATCAGCAGCCTTGGGTTCTTCTGAAGCCTCTCTCCTTGGCTTGTAGACATGCCTAATGTTAACACTAAGAGAAGTTTGCAGATAGACATTTAGAAGGAGCTAGGGGTTGGGCGCGGTGGCTCACGCCTGTAATCCCAGCACTTTGGGAGGCCAAGGCGGGCGGATCACCTGAGGTCAGGAGTTCGAGACCAGCCTGGCCAAGATGGTGAAACCCCATCGCTACTAAAAATACAAAATTAGTTGTGTGTGGTGGTGGGTGCCTATAATTCCAGCTTTTCGGGAGGCTGAGGCAGGAGAATCACTTGAACCTGGGAGGCGGAGATTGCAGTGAGCTGAGATCACGCCATTGCATTCCAGCCTGGGTAAAAACAGTAAAACTCCATCTCAAAACAAAACAAAAAAAAAGGAGCTAGGAGGGGAAGTCTCTTATGCCACTGGCTCTCTTTGGGACCCGTAAAAACCCATGAATATCCGGCCCTGAAAGCTGACAACAAGCTTTGTGCCAGGACTCTTGATGACGGGCGGTTTTCTTTCAGGGAAAGGAAGAGGAAGATGTTTACACTAAGAGAAGTTTGCAGAGCAGGTGTAACAGACACCTTCTCTCTCTGGGTCTCTTTATGTGGTCTTTCCTTTGTGTGTGTCTGTGTCTTAATCTCCTCTTCTTATAAGTACACCAGTCCTATTGGATTAGGGCCCACCCATATGACCTGATTTTATCTTAATGACCTCTTTAAAGACCCTATCTCCAAATACTCAGTCGCATTCTGAGGTACCTAAGGGTTAGGGCTTCAACATAGGAATTTGAGAGGGCCATAACTTAGCCTGTAACAACAGGTATAAGGGAAGCAGCCAGTCGCCCACATAATGCACGTGCAAGTAGCTTGGGTTATGCAGGAAGTGGGGGGCTGTGAGAGGCCTTGTAGTGGGGTCTGGGAAGGCATGCAGGTGGAGAGGAAGAAGTTTCAGGAACTACAGTAGCCTGTGCAGTTGCTTCTTGATAAAGTTCTGAGATAAGCCAGCAACCACAGATGGGCTTTAGGAAAACAGGGCCAGCTCTCCCATTTCCATGAGCAATAATCAATAGGCAAAGTAGGTATGATGAGAGTTAGCAATCAGGAAAACCTTAACTATTGGGACAGTTCATCATTGGAATGCACTACCTATCAGAGCTGTATAGTTCCTCATCTTGAAGATCTTCCCCAAAAGCTAGATTTTGTGTAGGGTCTGCAACTCTCCGAAGTGATTCTTGAAAGGGTCCATGTATTCATTTATCGGGGCCAAAAGTAGGGTGGGACTACATATTCATATATATATATATATATGTGTGTATATATATATATGTATGTATATATATGTGTGTGTATATATATGTGTGTGTATATATGTGTGTGTGTGTGTATATATGTGTGTGTGTGTGTATATATATATATGCGTGTGTATATATATATATACATATGTCTCAGCCTCCCAAAGTGTTGGGATTACAGGCGTGAGCCACTGTGCCCGGCCAACATGATTTTAAACTTGGAGAAGGGAGGGCTAGGGATGGGAAGGAGTTAGCCAGGTTACCCAGTTAGGGGGCATCTCCATTCATATATATATGAATATCTGGGATAGCTACATATCCCAGAAGGTGGCAGGTGTGAGGAAGCAGAACTAAAACACCACCTCCTAGCCAGGCATGGTGGCTCATGCCTATAGTTCCAGCTACTCAGGGGGCTGAAGCAGGAGGATTGCTTGAGGCCAGGAGTTTGAGACCAGCCTGGGCAACATAGCGAGAACCCACCTCTAAAAAATAAAACACCCCCTCTGGGAGACATCGGTCAAAGAGTACAAAGTTTCCGTTAGGTAAGATGAATAAATTCTGGAGATCTATGGTACAGCATGGTGAGGTTGATGAAAAATAATGCATCTTATACTTGAAAATTGCTAAGAAAGTAAATAAGAAATGTTCTCGTCACAAAAATATATGAGGTATAGATTTGTTAATTAGCTTAATTTAATCATTTCACAATGTATAGTTATCACATTGTACAGTTTTCGTATACAAAATACATACAATTTTTGTCAATTATAGCTTAATAAAACTGGGAGGTAAAAGTAAGTTAAATAAAGATGAAGATAGAAACTTAAAATGGAACATACACACAGAAAAATACCACCTCCTCAAATCTACGCCCATCCAGCCTGAGCTTCCCCTTCAGACACAGTGAAGAGGCTGCCTTCCACTGAGACCCCTAGAATGGCACTGCCATCTGTGTGGGCTCCTGGCCCCGTCCTTTGTTCCACATAGCCACTCCTGCAGCTGCTGTTTCCTGCAGGCTTTGTATTCCAGGTCTGAAAGGCCAGGGACACTGGCCTCTGGGGTTTGCTTTGATAATGACTTAACATGTGACCTGGGGTTAACCAGTAGACTATAGCACAGCTCTCCAAGTCTTAATCTGAGAAAGGAGTACCTTTTGAAACAGAGCTCATTTTTACATGGCTGCACTGTTGGCAGGGGATGTGGCTCATGGCAGAAGCCTGAACAAAGGGTAGTTTCCAATTCCAGGAGAGAAGAGTGGCAGAGTCCCTGGTAGCCCAAAATAAGGCTGGTGAGATGGTCCCAAAGCCACACTTTACATTTTGTATGAGGGTCTTTAGGACACTGTGTCAAATGCTCTTTCAGGAGTACCTACAGTGGTAACAGTTTTTCTTTTTTGTTTAATTTCTGTCTTCAAATTGACAAAAAAAAATTGTATGTATTTACAGTGTACAGTGTAATGTTTTGATATCTATACACATTGTGAAATGATTAAACCAAGCTACTTAGCTGGGCATGGTGGCACACCTGTAGTCCCAGCTACTCAGGAGGCTGAGGTGGGAGGATCCCTTGAGCTCAGGAGTTCTGTTCCAGCCTAGGCAACCTAGTGAGACCAGTCTCTTAAAAAAAAAAAAAGTCAAGCTAATTAATATAATGCATTACCTCATATACCTATCCTTTTTCTGTGTGTGGTGAAAATACTTCAGATCTACCCTCTTAGCAATTTTCAAGTACACAGTACGTTGTTACTGCCTATAGTCACCATGTTGTGCAATAGGACTCCTGAGTTTACTCCTCTCATGTCACTGAAATTTTGTACACTTTGACCAATGTCTCCCCAGTCCCCTCATTCCCTAGCCTCTGGTAACCAGCATTCTGATCTCTGCTTCTATGAGTTCAACTTTTTTAGAGTCCACATTTAAGTGAGAACATGCAGTATTTCTTTTTGTGTCTGGCTTATTGCTCGTAGCATGTCTTTCAGGTTCATTCATGTCGTCAAAAATGACAGGATTTTCCTTCTTTTTTTATGGAGTTCCACAGTAATTCTGATTGCCAACAGCCCTTACTTTTTTTTTTTTTTTTTTTCATTTGAGACAGAGCCATGTTCTGTCACCCAGGCTGGAGTGCAGTGGTGCAGCTGTGGCTCACTGCAGCCTCCATCTCTCAGGCTCAAGCAATCCTTCTGTTTCAGCTTCCCAGTTTTTTTATTTTTAATAGAGATGCGGTCTCCCTATGTTGCCCAGACTGGTCTTGAACTCCTGAGCTTAAGCAATCCTCCCACTTTGGCTTCCCAAAGAGCTAGGATTACAGGCATGAGCCACCACATCCAGACCCTAAGAGTCCTTATAGATTCCTCAACTCTACGGCTTTTTCTTTTTCTTCTTCTTTTTTTTTTTCTTTTTCTTTTTAAGAAACAAATACTCTGTGTTGTCCCTGCTGGTCTGGAACTCCTGGGCTCAAGTGATTCTCCCACCTCAGTCCCCAAAATAAGAATAGCTGAGATTACAGGCATGTACCACCACACACGGCTGAACTCCATAGAGTTTTAACCTTTATTTTCCCATAGTTTGGATAACAATGCTGAGGTCCGGGGACCTACCCGAGGTGAAAGAGTTCATTTAATTGACCGTGCTATCATGAACCCAGGCACACTCTGTTACAGCCCCCCTTGTTATATCTGGAAACAAAGTCGCAGCAATCTTTGTGGTTTACAGAGTACTTTTCATGTGCGTCATTTTGTAATCCTCATTTTACAGTTAAGAACAGAGACTGGGGTTTTATGAAAAGCACCATGAAACAGTTCCCTGTTGGTGCCTCTCTTGTGATTTTCTTTGCTACCAAAATGGAAATGAAGAGCCGCAGGAAGCTCAGAAGGTATCAGCACCAGGCCTGGCCCTGGCCCACTTTAGGACACCATTTTCTGATCTCTTTCAGTTCTGCAAGATGCTTTCCTTCTTCAGGAAGAGAATGTGCGGGACACACAGCAGGTGACCACCCTCCAGCTACCCCCGGTGAGTGGTTTCTACAGGAGTCCTTGAAAATCCCCTGTTTGCCTCTGTAGGCTACAGGGCAGCTTTCTTAGGACCCCAGCCAGCTTTCTGACTGCCACACAGGATGTTCAGTCCCAGCCCAGAAAAGCTAAAATAGGCAGAGCGTGAGCTTAAGAGACGCCCCATTTCTCCTCCTTCCCTGTGGTCCCAGCCGCCCACTGGGTCTACTGTCATCAGGCCACCTTCAGGAAGCTTTGTGCAGACGATAGCAGGAAACAAAGGCCCATGAGTCCCCATTGATGGGCCTCTCAGCATGTCTAAGTTCCCCTCTTGTGAAAAAGGAGATCTCTCTGCTCTTTTATTTTACAGAGAATTTTTCAATTTAATAATCATCGCAGCAATGGTTATATTTTAGAAATGTTAGGAAGTGGAGGGAAGAAAGCACAGATAATTTCAGTCCTGTCACAGATCTACGTGGTGAGTCATTCCAGAATTTCCTCGAATGTTCTCGTTCGTGTTTTTGTGTAAGACTTGCTTACTCGGGTGCTCTGAGGAGTCAGAGTCAGGGCTGGGGGCTGGTCCAGCAGGTGATCTTACTCGCCTCTCTCTAGCCCAGTTGCTGTCTTTGGCCATGTTTTCTGGCCATATCTCCTTCACTTTCCCTCCTAACACTTTCCACTGGCTGGCACAAGATTTAGTTATGACAGCATCATCCCCTCCCATGGGAACAGGATGTGTGGCTCCTGCTTTTGTTTAGTTGCTCCTTACCCAACAGAAAACTGTGAAAAACAGTAGACACTCTTATTACCATGTCTCAGCAGAATGTCGGAAGCTGAGCAGTTTGCTTTCTGCACAGTTCATTTGACATGACTTTATTTTATTTTTATTTTTAGAGACAGGGTCTTGCCTTGTCACCCAGGCTTCAATGCAGTGGCACAGTCGTAGTTCACTGCAGCCTCAAACTCCTGAGCTCAAGCCATCCTCCCACCTCGGTCTCCTGAGCAGCTGGGACTACAGGTGCATGCCACTACACCCAGCTAAGTTTTGTATTTCCTTGTAGAGACAGGGTCTCGCCATGTTGCCCAGGCTGGTCTCAAACTCCTGACCTCAAGTGATCCTCCTGTCTCAGCCTCCCAAAGTGCTGGGATTACAGGCATGAGCCACTGTGCCCAGCCAACATGACTTTAAACTTGGAGAAGGGAGGGCTAGGGATGGGAAGGAGTTAGCCAGGTTACCCAGTTAGGGGGCATCTCCATAACTTGCTTTTGCCCCACCAGAAATGTGGCACACGCCTGTTTACCCTGATGCTCAACACATACATGTCAGCATCTGCTGTGTACTGTGACCATTTCCAAACACAAAGGAGGTAAAACCAGTATTTCTTATTAAAATTTGGACATTTAACCAGTATAACACATAAGGGGATGCTGTTAATCCAGTACCTAATGAGGTTTGGTCTTCATCTTTCAATTCCTGCAGTCCCTAGTAAATGCCATAGCGAGCACAGTACAGAGATTTTGATAAGTCAGTACTGTTGTATTACTCTGATAGTTTCTTCCCAGTGATAGTTTCTTCCCAGTGCACTAAAAGTCACCATCATGAAGATGTTGTTTATAAGTGTTTTTTAATTTCTGTTTTTAATTGTGGTAATATACACATAGCGTAAAATTTTCCATCTTAACTGTCTTTAAGTGTGCGGTTCAGTGGTGTTAAGTATATTTACATTGTTGTACACCCAATCTGTAGAACTTTTTCATCTTCCCAAACTGAAATTCTCTATACGTTAAATAATAACTCCTCATTTACCCTTTCCCTTAGCCCCTGGCAACCTCCATGCTACTTTTAGTCCCTATTAATTTGACTATAAATACCTCATATAATTGGAATTATGCACTATTTGCCTTTTTGTGACTGGCTTATTTCATTCAGCATAATGTCCTCAAGGTTCATCTATGTTGCAGTATGTGTCGGAATTCCCTTCCGTGTTTTTTTTTCCCCCGAGATGGAGTCTTGCTCTGTCGCCCAGGCTGAAGTGTAGTGGCTCGATCTCGGCTCATCGCAACCTCCGCATCCCGGGTTCAAGCAATTCTCCTGCCTCAGCCTCCCGAGTAGCTGGGATTACAGGCACCCGCAACCACGCTTGGCTAATTTTTGTATTCTTAGTAGAGACGGGGTTTCACCATGTTAGTCAGGCTCTTGAACTCGAACTCTTGACCTCGTGATCCACCTGCCTCGGCCTCCCAAAGTGCTGGGATTACAGGCGTGAGCCACCATGCCTGGCCATGAATTCCCTTCCTTTTTAAGGTTGAATAATACTCCCATGTGTGTATATATCACCTTGTTTATCCATTCATCTGTCGATGGACATTTACATTGCTTCCACATTTTGGCTTTTGTGAATAATGCTGCTATGAACATGGTACACGTGAAGTTTTGTTTTTCTTTTTAAATGAATCTTCTCATTTTTACGTAATTGTAGATTCACATGCCATTGTAAGAAATAACACAGAGAGATCCTGTGAACTTTTTAAACCCTCAATAGTAAAATATAGAGTAAAAATCTATATTCTATAAATATAGTACAATGTCACACCCAGGGTATTGACAATGATACATGCAAGATAGAGAACAGGTGCTTCACCAGAAGGATACCTCCTGTTACCTAATGTCCACACTCATTTCTTTCCTACCCTCACCCTCTCTTCAGCCTCTGGCAACCACTGATCTGTTTTTCAGCTCTGTGATGTCATTTCATTTCAAGAATGTTATATAAATGGATTCATATAATATGTAACCTTTGGGGATTGGCTGTTTTCATTCAGCGTAATTCTATGGAGCTTCATTCAGGTTGTTGCGTGTTACTATTCCATTGCTTTTCGTTGCTGAGTAGTATTCCATCACATGGAAGTCCAACAGTTCGTTTAACCATTCACTGGTTGAGGACTATCCGGGTTGTTTTGGGGTCATTATTGTATAAAGCTGCTGTAAATATTTGTGTGCAGGTTTTTATATACACATCAGTCTTCATTTCTCTGGGATAAATGCCCAGGTATGCAATCGTTGGTAAGTACAAAAGTTGGTAAGTTTTGTAAGAAAGTACTCTTATCTGATGTTAATATAGCTTTTCTTCTTTCTTTTGATTAATAATTGCATAATATATTTATTCCATCCTTTTACAGTCAACCTGCTTATATTATTATATCTGAAGTAAGTTACTTTTAGATAGTATATATGTGTTGTTTTATTTTGTTTGAGGCGGAGTCTCACTCTGTCACCCAGGCTGGAGTGCAGTGGCGCGATCTCAGCTCACTGGAGCCCCCATCTCCTGGGTTCAAGCAGTTCTCTTGCCTCAGCTTCCCGAGTAGCTGAGACTACAGGCGCGCACCACCAGGCCCGGCTCATTTTTGTATTTTTAGTAGAGACAGGGTTTCACCATGTTGGCCAGGCTGGTCTTGAACTTCTGACCTCACGTGATCCACCTGCTTCGTCCTCCAAAAGTGCTGGGATTACCGGTGTGAGCCACTGCACCCGGCCTAGATAGTATATATTTGGATAATGTTTTCTAATCTACTCTGCCAGTTACTGTGTTTTGATTGATGTATGTAGACCATTTGTATTTAATGTCATTACCGACATGTTAGGGCTTAAGTTTGTCTTTCTGTTTTTCTGGCTCTGTTTCTGTTTCTCTGTTTCCTTTTTCCTATTTTTCTGTGTGTTACTTGAACATGTAGAATTCCATTTCGATTTACCTAGTGTGGTGTTGAGTGTATGTATATTTTTGTATAGCTTTTTTAGTGGTTATTCTAAGTATTACATTATATATACATAACTTATCTACTGAGTATCATTTTATCAGTTTGAGTGAAGTGTAGAAGCTTATTTCCTTTGTTCGGGCACCGTGGCTTGTGCCTATAATCCCAGCACTTTGAGAGGCCAAGGTGGGAGGATTGCTTGAGCCCAGGAGTTTGAGACCAGCCTGGGCAACATAGCGAAACCTTGTCTCTACAAATAATAATTCTAAAAAAATTAGCTGGGAATGGTGGTGTGCTCCTATAGTGCCAGCTACTTGGGAAGCTGAGGCAGAAGGATTGCCTGAGCCCAGGGGGTTGAGGCTGCATAGTAAGCTGTGATTGCATCACTGCACTCCAGCCTGGGTGACAGAGTGAGACCCCATCAGAAAAGAAAAAGAAAGAAATATAATATACCTCCTTTTACATACCCTCATCCTTCTTCCCCATTATAATGCAGTTGTTTAAATATTTCCTCTACATACATTTAGAACCGCATCATAGAGTGTTGTAATTTGTGCTTCAACTGTCAAACATTATTCAGAAAACTCAAAAGGAAAAAGAAAACCTATTTATTACCCATATTGTGGCTTACTGTTTTCTTTCTTCTTATGTTCCAAGGTTCCTGCTTTTTGTTTAGAGTGTTTCTTTAGCCATTCTTTTAAGATAGATCTGCTGGTGATAGACTTACATATTTTTTCCTCATCTTAGTAGGTCTTCATTTCCCCATCATTCCTGAAGGATGTTTTCACCAGATGAAAGATTCACACTTGACAGTTTTCTTTCAGCACTTGAAAAATATTATGTTACTTCCTTCTGGCCTCCATGGCTTTTGATGAGAAATCTGCTGTCATTCAAAAACTTTTTCCCTGTAAGGAAGGTATTATTTTACTCTGGCTACCTTTAAGATTTTTTTCTTCCTTTGCCTTCAGTTTTCAGAAGTTAAATTATGCTGTGTCTTGTTATGGATTTCTTTAGATTAACCTGTTTAGAGTTTGCTCAGCTTCTTACATTTCTAGGTTTATGTCTCTTTCCAAGCTTGGGAATTCTTAAGCTAGATTTTTCTAGTACTTTTTTAGTCCCTCTCTCTTTCTCCTCTCCAGACTGCTAAGGATACAGGTTTTAGATCTCTTGTTAGAAACTGTGTAATTTATAAAGGTACCTGAGACTGTTCATTTTTTTTCAGCCTGTATTCTCTCTGTTGTTCAGATGGAATAACTTTATTTTTCCGTCTTCAAGTTGACTGAGTCTTTCTTCTGTCCCCTCCTCAGCTGAGCCTATTCACTGAGCTTCTTATTTCATATTGTGGTTTGTACTGTTCACATTTCCAGTTAGTTATTTTCTGTATCTTCAGTTTCTTTGCTGAGACTTTCTGTGTCTTTACAGACACTTTCTATTTTTTCGTTTGTTTGGAGTGTGCTTATAATTGTTCATTGAAGCATTTTATGACAGCTTCTTTGTCAGATAGTTCTAACGTATCTGTCACCTGAGGGTTGGCATCTGTTGGTGGTTATCTTTATTCATTCAGTTTCAGATCTTGGTATAGTGAGTGATTTTCTGCCTGCATATTTTTATATGATGAGACTCTGGACCTTAACTTCGGTGTGGCTGGTTTTGTTTGGTTGTGCAGTGTTGTTTTTGACATAGCTCCAGCAAGAGAAGGGCAGGTGGGCCACCACTTGTTATTACCTGGTGAGAGAACGTCAGGTTTCCTCCTGGATCTCCGCGGGCATCAAAGTGGGGATGCTCCTCATACACCCGAGTGGGAGTGGAGTTCCAGCTCCCTACATGGTCTCCACTGGTGGCGGGGGGGGGGCTTGTTCTTAGCTAGCAGGGATGGAGGTCCCAGCTCCGCATTTGGCCTTCTCTGAGACCACCCCAGCAGGGGTGTTAGGGCACCTCATTGCACCTGGTGAGGGTGGAAGTCTAGGCTCCCCAGTCATTCTCTGCTGGTGTTGGTAAGAAGGGGCCACAGTTTTCTTATGTGGTATTAAGTGGAGTAGAGCAGTTATTACCTGTTTGGCTGGGCTGCCCCTGTCCAGGTCCTGTGGCTTTTGTTGGAGCTTTTTTTGGTCTGTGCCCATGGGTATTTCTTGGTAGCTGGCTCCTTCGGCTTCAAGTCAGGGGAATATGTGGTAGAAAGAAAAACCAGTGAACTTAGCACATACTGTTCCAAGGTCCCTGGCCATTCTGCCACCCTCTCTCCACCTTTCAGAGTCTCCTGTGCTCATTTTATATGCAATGTCCAGGGTTTTCATTCTACTTAGTTGGGAAGCATTAGAAAAATCTCCTCTGAAGATTTAATCTTAAATAGACATGTTTATCTATCTTGCCCATCCCTTCTCGTGAAAAATTAACAAAATGTAGGAAGTGAAAAGATACCACTCATCCCCAGTCATGTGAGAAGATTCTGCATGGTCTAGTGAACTTCCTTCTGGACTTTTCTCTGCCAATTTATTTGTGTGCCTCACAAATAAATCGATCACAAATAAAAGGATCCCGCTGTAGATCAATGTCCTGTTTTTATGCTCCTCCCCAGCATGTAAGCATTGGTCCATATGGTTCTAAAAGCTCCCTGGGGATCCTGCTAAGTGGCCGTGTCAGATTCTGGAGGTGACTGGAGCACTGTCTGTCCACCCACCTGGCCCTTGGACTTGGGTTTGCTTCTGTGATGCCTTGACTGTCTAGTCAGTTTTCTGTCACTTGTAACAGAATACCTGAAACTGTAATTTATAAAAAAAATAATTGACTTCTCATATTTATGGAGGCTGAGAAGATTCGGGTTGAGGGGCTCCATCTGGTGAGAGCGTTCGTGCTGGTGGGGGCTCTGTGGTGTCCCGAGGTGGGTGCAGGGCGTCACATGGCGAGGGGCTGAGTGTCCTGACGCGCTTGCTCCGGTCTCTCTTCCTCTGCTTACAAAGCCACCAGTTCCACTCCCATGACAACCTATTCATCACCTCGTAAAGGCCACACCTTTCAATACTGCCACATGGGGGATCAAGTTTCCAGCACCTGAAATTTGAGGGCCACATTCAAAGTATAGCAAGTAGATCCTCAAACACCTAACCAAGGCTCAAAGGAAAAAGCATCCAAATCTGTTGTTAATATATACTCTCAGTTTTTCCCTCGGGACCCCCACTGCGCGCGCTCACACACACACACACACACACGCGCACGCGCGCGCACACACACACACCCCTCCCAGGAAGTCGTGCACACACACACACACACACACACACACACACACACACCCCTCTCCCAGGAAGTCGTGTCAGAGTGATGAATTCTTTTGTATTTTTTGTCACTGGGGCAATTACCATTTTTTCCCCATTTAAGAAACCAACATCAAGTTGACTCCCACAGGTCCTTGTAATGAAATCCAGTGGCTTCCCGAGGCCTGTTTTGGATTCTGTGGAACAGCCTGGGAAGACAGGCTTTTCCACACTGACCTCTTCCGAGCAGCAGATCCACTTAGGGGCTCATTCAGATACAGCCTCTGAGGCTCCACCCCGACCTACTGAGTCAGAGTTTTTACTAAGATGCCTGTGATTCATATGTACAGGCAAGAGTCCTTGTTCCAAAACCCTGACTCAAATTTAGAATTTTTGAGGTATTCTCTTTCTTTTTATTTTAAACTTTTTCTTTGGAATTAATTTTAAAGTTAGGGAAGATGGCAAGAACAGTACAGAGACTTCCAAATACCCTTTCCTTCACTTTCCCCGTTCTCCCTCTCTCTTCCTTACCCACTCCCACCCCCTCATTCTATTTTTCCCCAAATCTTCAGTTAGATGCAGACGTTTGTGCCCCCTTATTCATGCCAAAGGAGCGTATTTCCTAAACACAAGGACAATCTCTTAACCACAATACAGTTATCACATTGAGGAAATTTCACATTAAAACAATAATGATCCAGCATCGTTGCTTCTTATTTAGTTGTCCCATCTCTTAACACTTCCTCCTTGGGTTCTCAATGTTTGTCATGCTGTGGCTAGTTTTGAAGAGTGGAATATCGTGATAGGTGATACAGCTTCCTTCCCTCAGGTGGGGTTAGACTCACAGTGGCACTCAGGCCACGCATTTTGCAGGAGAACCACACTGGGCTGTGCACTCCCCATGCAGCACATCTGGAGGCATTGAAGGTGGGGTGTCCTGCATGGGTCACGTCAGCTGTGATCACTGGGATACATATGTACAATTGACGCATAATTATTCCATAGGTGTTTTTTTTTTATATTAACATCTTTTACTTTTCACCAACATGATTCCTTTAAGTGCCCTCTGCCCTCTATATTTTTGCTTTTTTTAAAAAAAAAAAAAAAAAAAAAAGACTAGTCAAGGCTGGGCTTGGTGGCTCACACCCATAATCCTACCACTTTGGGAGGCCAAGGTGGTTGAATCACTTGAGCTCAGGAGCTCAAGACCGGCCTGGCAACATGGTGAAACTCCATCTCTACTAAAAATACCAAAAAAAAAGTAGCTGGTCATGGTAGTGAATGCCTAGAGTCCCAGCTACTTAGGGGGCTGAGGCCCAAAAATCATTTGAACCTGGGAAGCAGCGGTTGCCGTGAGCCAAGATTGCACCACTGAACTTCAGCCTGGGCGACAGAGCAAAAACCGATCTCAAAAAAAAGAGAAAGAAAGAAAATCACTCCTTCCCAGCCGTGTCCTGGGTGCCTGGCCCCAACACCCGGGGAAACCATCTGACAGTAACTGATAGTTTTCCAGAGAGGTAGGCAGATGCAAAGCATGTTTTAAAAATTATTCTGTTCCTTTTTTGCTTGTCACATAGATACTAGTAATATAAAAGTCCTTTGAGTTACTTTTCTTTTTTCCACAAAAATTTTATTTTGTGGTCCTTTCCAATTATATAAAGGACTGCTTTATTTTCCTGGTTTCCTAGTATTATATGGATATACCATCATTTTAAATTGAAATTTTAAAATGAAAATTTTAAAATGAAGCATTGATCTAATAAATACTGAAAACCTTGACACACATCAACAAGACAGTGGATTAAGTAATGAAAATTAGGCCAGGCACCATGGCTCATACTGGTAATCCCAGCCCTATGGGAGGCTGAGGTGGGAGAACTGCTTGAGCCCAAGCATTTGAGACCAGCTTGAGTAACATAGCAAGACCTCATCTTTACAAAAATAAAAAATTAGCCAGGCGTGGTGGCTCACTCCTGTAGTCCCAGCTACTTGGGAGGCTGAGCAGGAGGATTGCTTGAGCCCCAAAGGTTGAGGCTGCAGTGAGCTGTGGTTGTGCCACTGCACTCCAGCCGGGGTGACAGAGTGAGACCCTGTCTAAAACAATATAAAGATAAAAATAGAAATTAAAATCAGGTTTTTGACACATTCCCATGGTCCATGATTCAAAGTTTATGAAAAAAATCTCCCTGTTACACCTAACCCCAGAGTCCCAGGAACCTCTTGAGAAGCAGCTAACCTTCGGAACTCCTAGACGCCCTGCACTTGGTGGCCATCCGGATTCCATCATGCACAGGTGTTTTCCTGCAACAACACACTTTGAAGAGAATTCCTTCTCAGTACAGAGAGGCCGTCATTCTTTCTGTGCGTGTAGGATCATCCCTTGTGAGGTTTCTGTAGCTTACTTAATCCGCTGTCTTCTTGATGTGTGTCAAGGTTTTCAGTATTTATTAGATCAATGCTTCAGTGAAGCAGCTTTTGTAGACTACGTTGCACATGTGCAACATAAACTTGAGAAATCCCTGCACGGAAGGGTGGGCATGTTGGTAACGTGCAACAACATAAACTTTAGGAATCTCTGCATTGAGGGGCGAGCACGCTGGTGACCTCTGGACATTGCCCAGCAGCGCACCATAGGAGTGGTGGATGTGCAGCCTCCCCAGCACTGAGGAGGAAGACCTGTTTCTCCACATCCTTGGCCACCCAGCCAGGTAGCTGCCATGTGGATTTTGCCAAACAAGATAGGGATGAGGTGGATCCAAGAGCAGAAATAACAAAGCAGTGTGTCCACTGGCGCCTGGACCTGGGGTAGTCGGTCTCCTTTCTGTCTCTTCTATCTGCATGTGTTGCTTTGGGCTCTTCCCTCAGCCCCAGCTTCCACACCACCCCCCTCCCCTAGTGCTATGGTCTGAATGTTTTTGTGTTCCCCTCCCCACAGCTTTGACATGTTGAAATGCTAGCCCCCAAGCTGCTGGCATTAAGAGGTGGGGCACTGGGGAGATGATCAGGTTATAAGGGCAAATCCATCATAAATGGATTAGTGCCCTTCTAAAAGAGGCCTCAGAGAGCAGCCTTGCCCCTTCCACCATGTGAGAACACAATGAAATGATGACCATCTATGGAGCAAGGAACTGGGCCCTCACCAGAACCCAACTATGCTGGTATCAGCTGGGGACTTCCTAGCCTCCAGAACTGTAAGACATACATTTATGTTGTTTATGAGTCCCCAGTCTGCGGTATTTTGTTAGAGCAGCCCAAATGGATTAAGACAGAAAATTGGCACCGAACATTTTGGGTGCTACTCTAACAAATACAACGTGGAAGAAGCTTGGGAACCGGGTAATGGGTAGAGGCTAGAAGAGTTTTGAAGTGCAGGCTAGAAAAAGCCTGTGTTGCCATGAACAGACAATTTTTTCTTTTTCTTTTTCTTTTTTTTTTTTTTTTGAGATGGAGTCCTGCTCTGTCACCCAGGCAGGAGTGCAGTGGTGCGATCTCTGCTCACTGCAACCTCAGCCTCCTGAGTAGCGGAGATTACAGATGTGCACCACCACACCTGGCTAATTTTTGTATTTTTAGTAGAGACAGGGTTTTGCTATTTTGGCTAGCTAGGCTGGTCTGGAACTCCTGACCTCAGGTGATCTGCCAGCCTCAGCCTCCCAGAGTGCTGGGATTACAAGTGTGAGCCACCGTGCCCAGCCCATGAACAGACTATTACGGGTGATTTCTAGTGAGGCTCCAAAAGAAAAGAGGAGATTTGAAATCCTCAACCAGAATGTTGGTAAAAATGTGAACAGTAAAGCTATTCTTATGAGGTCCCAGATGGAAATGAGAAACGTGTGGTGGGCAATGGAGGAAAGGCCATCCTTCTTATAGTGGCAAATCACTTGGCTGAACTGTGCTTATGTATTAGTGTTTTGTGGAAGGTAGAACTTACGGGCCACTGCAATTGGATATTTGGCTGCAGAAATATCTAAGCAAGGTTTTGAAGGTGCAGCTTGTGAAATGTGAAAAGAGAGAAGTGATTTAAAGATGGGATTGTTACTTAAAAGGGAAGCAGAACTTAAAGATCGGGAATATTTGTCAGCCTATGTTGGTAAGAGTGAGCCAGCCTGTTTAGGAGAGAAGATAAAGGTTTTGCCATTGAAACTGAGGCTAGGAGCTAGTCCAAGAAAATGGAAAAATGACCCCAAAGGCAATTCAGAAATCATCAGGGCTCTTCTGCCCATCACAGGCCCAGAGCGCAAGACCCGCAGCAAGCAGGGGACCACAGCAGAGAGCCCCGCTTCAGTCACCCCTGAAGCCCTAGATGGTGGGGCCATCAGCGAAGTTCCAGCCCAAGAGAGCCTTGGGCTTCTGAAAGAGACAGAGCTGCCACAGAGGTGGGGCCACTGCAGAGAACCACCTCAAGGGCAGGCCCTCACCAGGGGCTGCCATGGGGCGGGACCACCCAGGGCCTTGGGGACTCAACTCCTGCCCAGTGAAGCTGCCACCTGTGGGTTTGGAAGGCGGGGTCACCTCCCAACACAGTGGGCCTGGGGAGCACAGCATCAAGACAAAAAGGATTATTCTGCAGATTATTCTCAAGCCGTAAACCATAATGTGCTGTGACCCATAGGTTCAGGACTTGCTGGGGACCTGTTACTCCTTTTCTTTTTTTCTGTTTCCCTTTTTTGGAACTGGAATGTTTATCCTGTGCCCGTCTCACCACTATATATGTGTGTGTGTGTGTGTGTGTGTGTGTGTGTGTCTCTGTGTGTGTGTTTTGTTTTTTTTTTTTTAAGACTGAGTCTCACCCTGTTGCCCAGGGTGGAGTGCAGTGGCATGATCTCAGCTCACTGCAGACTCCGCCTGCCGGGTTCAAATGATTCTCCTGCCTCAGCCTCCCAAGTAGCTGGGATTATAGGTGCTCACCACCACGCCTGGCTGCTTTTTGTATTTTTGGTAGAGATGAGGTTTAACCGTATTGGCCAGGCTGGTCTCAAACTCCTGACCTCAGGTAATCTGCCTGCCTCGGCCTCCCAAGGTGCTGGGATTACAGGTGTGAGCCACTGCGCCGGCCTCACCACTATTTGGAAGGCACATAACTTGTTTCATTTCACAGGTTCACAGCTGGAGAGAATTTTGTGTCAGGTAGAATTGTGCCTTGAGTTTCAACCGTAACTGATTTAGATGATATTTAAATGAGATGTTGGACTCCGGACTTTTGAGTTGATGCTGGAATGAATTAAGACTTTGAGGGTTATTGGGATAGAATGAATTTGTTTGGCATGTGAAAAGGATATGAATTTGGGGGAACCAGGGGCAGAATGCTATGGTTTCAGTGTTTATATCTCCCCAAAATTTGTGTTGAAATTGTAATCCCCAAGATGATGGTATTAGGAAGTGGAGACTTTTGGGGAGATGATCTGGTAACAAGGGCAAAGTCCTCATGAGTGGGATTAGTCCCTCCTAAAAGAGGCCCCAGAGAACTCCCTTGCCCTCTCCATCATGTAAGGACACAGAAGACACCTGTCTTTTGACCAAGAAGTGGGCCCTCACCAGGCACCCAGCCTGCTGGCACCTTGATCTTGGACGTCCAGCCTCCAGAACTGTGAGGAACAGATTTCTGTTGTATAGAAACTGCCCGTCCTACAGCGTTGTGTTGTCACAGCCTCAGTGGACTAAGACTGAGACACCTAGCTCGTCCCGGACTGAGGCATCCCTGTTCTCCTGTGCTTTCAGAGTCGGGTTTCTCCATTCAAGGACATGATTTTATGCTTCTCTGAAGAGGATTGGTCCCTTCTAGATCCTGCCCAGACTGGCTTCTATGGAGAGTTCATCATTGGGGAGGATTACGGGGTCTCAATGCCTCCAAGTAAGACTTAACTTCCCCCCACACCTCAAGACCAGGGAACTGGGCAGGGGAGTTCTCACTTGGAGTAAGAGTCAACTTCGTCCCATAGGATCAGGGAAGCGGGGCCTGCATCAGATCTCTCTGTTCACCCCCAACCTGGACAGGAGGTCATTTGCACACAGCGGCCCTACAGGCAGTGTGTCCGATTGACCATCACCTGCTGTCTCGCCACATCAGGCTTATCAGAACCAAATAGAACATGTGCTGTATGTCCATTTCTCTTCCATCGTTCTTACCGTTTTGTCCCTTTATGTCTGCTTTACACCCGAAAGCCTCAGAGAGACCCCCAAGCCCATAGCTCTCCCTGCGTGTGCTGCCCCCACTGCCCCTGCACTGCCAGCTCTGGCCTTTTCACTTCTCGCCCCTGATGGTGCCATGCCCGCTGGGCATCCCTCCGCCTTCTCTCTTCTGGACCAGCCCTGGTTGCTGCAGGATCAGATTACTAATAAACATGTACCCTGCCTTTTTCTTTGAACAGACGACCTAGCTGCCCAGCCAGATCTCTCCCAGGGAGAGGAGAATGAGCCACGCGTTCCAGAGTTGCAGGATCTCCAGGGCAAAGAAGTGCCCCAGGTCTCCTACTTGGGTGAGTAATGATTCCAGAACTGAGTGGACAGAGTAGGGGGAAGGGTTGCTGGCAGCCGGAGGTGAGCCCACTCTCTGGCTTCTCTCTGCGGCCCCTAATTGCCTTCTTCATTTCCCCAGACTCTATGTGGGTCTTGCATGTCTTGCCTTGTCCCTGACTTTTCATAGAAAGAATGGAGGATCTTAATTTTGCCAGGCATTGGAATTGTACTCCCTTGGCCAAGGACTGGGAAATAATAGGAATGTCTTTCTCCTCTGCCTGTAAGTAACATCTGGTTTGTGCTGACAATGCAGCAGCCCCTCCAGGAGTGAAGTCAGATACTCATGACAAGCCTAGTTGCAGAGGGAGTGTCTCCTAACTGGGCACCGAGCGCAGCCCTTTGAGGTGCCTCACCTGTCTAGTCTTCCCATCTGCCTGGTACAGGGGTGCTGTGAGGACACTGGGGTGTGGGGAGGTGCTGGGGCTCAGCAGCAGCAGTTTCCAGCCCTCCTTCAGGCTGTGTCGCCAGCACTTGCACCCATGATCTCCATGCCATGGTGCTTCGAAGCATCTGCTCCTTCAGGAGGAAATAGCTTTGTACAGAATCATCAGCAGCTCCACACCTTCTTCCCCTTTGGGACCTAGAGCTGGCATGAAGCAGACAAGGTTTTGACACACCATCCCCACCTGGAACAAGCGTTCAGAGACTTGGTGTGGTGCAGTAGCTCCTGTACCATCTCTACCCTGTAGGCTCTGCACAAGCTGTTTGTGCAGGATGTGCGGAGTGTGCAGGAGCCTGTGGTGATGACTATAGAAAACCCACCACAGAAAGTGGGAATAAATATGGGGCTGGGGGAAGTGCTTGTCTCTGGCCATAGAGTGGGTGGAGTAGAACCCGGATCTACGTCGATTCTGTCTAGCGTCAGAGCTCATGTTTGTGGAGTTGGCCCATTTTGCCTTCAGGTTCATTCACTCAGCAGACACTTATTGAGTGGCCACCCCCTGCCAGTCCCCAGGACGGAGCCCAGGGCCGCCCCCAGATCGTAGCCTGGCATCTATTCGGATAGCACCCTCCCAGGTAGTGCTGTAGGTGCAAAACAAATCAATTTTTCCATTTCCTCCTCTGGAAAGACTCTCCAAGTCTCCAGCCATTCCAGGTAGA
This sequence comes from Homo sapiens, assembly GCF_000001405.40. Taxonomy (NCBI): domain Eukaryota; kingdom Metazoa; phylum Chordata; class Mammalia; order Primates; family Hominidae; genus Homo; species Homo sapiens. Next base: position 75,000 of record NW_025791757.1, on the reverse strand, counting down.
AGAAAGAAGGAAACGTGAGGAGCTGCAGGTGCCAGAGTTCCAGGCCTGCCCACAGACGGTGGTGCCTCAAAACACCTACCCAGGTAAAGAAGGGTCAGGGAGGTATGGGTTTGTCCCTGTGTGTCTGTGGTGTGTCGCATGAATGTATGTATGCATGTGTGGCATAGGGGATGGTTGTGTTGAATGCATGTGTGCGTGCATACACATGTGGTATATGTGGTGTGCTGCATGTGTGAGTGTGTGCATTCATGGGTGCACCTGTGTGTTGGGGGCATGTGGGTGTGTGATGTAAATGTGCGGTGGTGATGGCATGGGACAGTTAGGAACTGAACCCCTCAGGATCCCCGCCGACCTCTGCTGTGGTGTTCTTAGCTGCTTGCCCTGATTCCGTTGTGCTGGGGTCATTCTCCAGCTCACTCCCAATCCCAGGCTCACCCTCCTTGCCTTTCCCAGGGGCCGGGGAGGGTGTGTCAAAGCAGGGTGCTGCTGTAGTGCTGTTGGTGATGCAGTGAGTGTTTTTCTTCTCTCAGCATGGATGGCCAGCATCCTGGCACAGAATCTTGGAACTGGGATTAAAGAGCAGGTTTCTGGCATACTGAAGCTGCACAGGACTCTTGGAAAGTGTATGTTCCATTCCTGCTTTCAGAGAAATAGCCACAGTGTAGACTCTGAGTCGTCTTGGTAAAAGTCACCACTTCCAGAAGCAGAGGCTACAATACTGCCATCTTTCTCTTCTCAATACAAAACCCAAGCCTCTGATTCTTACCTGAACCCACGTGTCATTGTAGTTTTCTGCAGCTATGGAGACCAACTCACACATATTATCTCTTCTACCTGTGATGCTTTTGAAGGCAAGATTTATGCCATTTTGACCCAGCTCCATGCATCTTGTACTTGGCCCCCTTTCATGCATGGACAAAGGGGCTTTTCTAGTGTGGGAGATCTGAAAGGATGAGATCCTGCTCCACAAGCATGGATGCCCACCCCTGGTTTTCTAAGAAGCCCACCTCTGCGTGCCAAGAGTGATGCATTCATTTGGGGTCCACTTGGAGTTCAAGCGCAGGCCTGATGTTTGTGGTGCACTTTGAATCTTCTCTAGCTTCTTTCTGCCCATAGCATGTCTCTCAGCCCCATCAATATACTTTTAGAAGATGGATGGATGTTCATTTATACACAGGAGTTTTCAACTCCATTCTTCCCTTGCTGGACTCTGACACAGACTGCTCTGAAACAGCCAGAAGCCAAGGGTTGCTACTGAGAAAGGGGAGAGACGATATATTTCAAAGAGTGGGCACTGTACTTATTTTGGTAGCTCCTGCCAGCTTGCCTTCCTAAAAGGCTTTTCCCGCCAGCTGATGCCGGATAGCTGGTGATAAGGTCTGCTTCTCTATATCCATGCCCACGCAGGACACTCCCAGATGTTCAGTTTGTGCCAATCAAATAATGCTACTACATCCGCCACTGAGGTGGAATATCTTTTCTTGTTTATTGTGTTCTATGAATTGCCTAGTTAGTATTCATTTATCCTTATTTATTTATTTTTGCACTCATACTTGTTTTCTTTATGTCCTAAACATTGCACCAGGATTCAGTGATTTACATGATGACATGATTCTGTGCATTGTATCTTCATGGCACCTTCTGAGATAGGTGGCATGATGTCTCTGTATTGCAGCTGGGGCACCCGAGAGCTGAAGTCACTTGCCCAGAGTCCAGTGCTCACAAGCTGTAGGTGGTGGAGTGAAGATTTGAACTCAGGCTGGGCGCAGTGGTTCATGCCTGTAATCTCAGCACTTTGGGAGGCCGAGGCGGGCAGATCGCCTGAGGTTAGGAGTTCAAGACCAGCCTGGCCAACATGGCGAAACCTGTCTCTACTAAAAATACAAAAATTAGCCAGGCACAGTGGCAGACACCTGTAGTCTCAGCTACTGGGGAGGCTCAGGCAGGAGAATCGCTTGAACCTGGGAGGTCAAGGCTGCAGAAATCATGACACTGCACTCCAGTCTGGACAACAGAGCGAGAGTCTGTCTCCAAAAAAAAAAAGAAAAAGAAAAAAAAAACGGCCAGGTGCAGTGGCTCACGCCTGTAATCCCAGCACATTGAGAGGCTGAGGCAGGCAGATCGCTGAGGTCAGGAGTTCAAGACCAGCCTGGCCAATATGGCGAAACCCCATCTCCACTAAAAAATATAAAAATTAACCAGGCGTGGTGGTGGGCACCTATAATCCCAGCTGCTTGGGAGGCTGAGGCAGAGAGAATTGCTTGAACTCAGGAGGTAGAGGTTGCAGTGAGCCAAGATCACGCCACTGCGCTCCAGCCTGGGACACGGAGCAAGACTCCATCTTAAAAAAAAAAAAAAAGATTTGAACTCAGGCTGTCAGGCTTCAGACCCATGGCTTTTACTCTACATTACCAAACCACGGTTTGCTTTTTCTGTGGATTCATAGAAACTGCCATCTTTCATAGGTTCTTCTAAATACCAAATCCAAGTCTCTGATTCTTACCTGAACCCACGTGTCGTTGTAGTTTTGGGTCTGAATCCCTTGCCTCTGCTGTATTCATACATAGTTTCTTCCATTTCCCTCAACTTTGTTTATGTGTCTTGCAGCATATAAATGTTTTGTTTTGTTTTGTTTTGTTTTTTAAAGATGGGGTCTCTTTATGTTGCCTAGACTGGTCTTGAAGTCTTGGGCTCAAGCAGCCTTTCTGCTTTGGCTTCCCAAATAGCTGGGGAGACTACAGGCGTGTGCCATCATGCCTGGCTTAAATGTTTTCTTACAGTTTTTAACTGTAGGTACACTTATTCGTCATCTTTTTGGTTTTATGCCTTGCTTGAGAAAGCTTCCCCATTCTAACTTTACAAGAATATTTTACAGTTTTTAATAATGCCTTTATCATTTTGGTTTTTCACATCCAGCTTCCTAGTCTCCCCTGCTGTTCCCCTTAATCCCCTCAGCTCGCAGGAAGTCATTCATTCCTGGCCAGAGCATCCTTCCTGAGGCGATAGTCATGGAGTTACCTGCACGCTGCATGCCTTTGCCACTCCGCCTGCAACAAGCACTTGCAGCAGCCTGGCTGCCTGCTAGCTATGTGGCCACGAGCCCTGGTCCCATCTCCACTGGCTCAATTCCCCTGAAACCTTGGGCAATTTCACTTTTCTGCCTTACATTTTTTATTTGGAAAACAGAAATAATAGTTAAAGCTGCCTTGTACAGTTATTGCTAAGGATTAAATGGTTTAATGCATATACTGGCAGTTAGACCAATAGCTCTTTTCTTTTTTTTCAGACGGAGTCTAGCTCTGTCACCCAGGTTAGAGAACAGTGGCGCGATCTTGGCTTACTGCAACCTCTGCCTCCCGTGTTCCAGCAATTTTCCTGCCTCGGCCTCCCACCATATGTGGGAGCCCACCCACCCATATGTCGTCATGTTCACTTAATTACATCTTGAAAGAGCCTATCTTCAAATACAGTCACATTCTGAGGTCCTTAGGGTTAGGACTTCAACATGAAATTTTGGGACAACACAATTCATCCCCTGTAAGACCTCACCCTCAGGACCTTCAAAATTCATGTCTTTCCCACATGCACAATCCATTCACCTCATCCCAACAGCCCCCAAATTCTCAACCTGTTTCAGCATCAACTGTAAGTCCAAAATCTCATCTAAATATCAACATCTCAAATCAGGTATGGGTTAGACTTGAAGTATGATTCATCCTGAGGCAAAACCCTCTCCAGCTATGAACTGTGAAACCAGATGTTTTTTGCTTCCAAAATACAACTGTGAGAAAAGCATAGCATAGACCATTCTCATTCCAAAATAGAGAAATCCAAGAGAAGAAAGGGTAATGGGTCCCAAGCAAGTCTTAAATCTAGCAGGTCAGGGCTAGGTGTGGTGTGGCTCGTGCCTATAATCCCAGCACTTTGGGAGGCCGAGGCAGGCGGATCACCTGAGGTCAGTAGTTCGAGACTGCACTGGCAAAAATGGGGAAACCCTCTCTCTACTAAAAATACAAAAATTAGCCAGACGTGGTGGCACACACCTGTAATCCCAGCTACTCAGGAGGCTGAGGCAGGAGAATTGCTTGAACCCAGGAGGCAGAGGTTGCAGTGAGCCAAGATCATGCCATTGCACTCCAGCCTGGGCAGCAAGAGCGAAACCCCATCTCAAAAAAAAAAAAAAAAAATCTAGCAGGTCATTTCCATGGGATTTTAAGGCTCAGCAATAACCTCTGGCTCAGTTCTCTGTTCTCCAGGCCCAGCAGGCTACTGGCCCTGCTCTTTGGAACTCAGAAGGAAATGACTTCACCTCCTGAGCCTGTACTCTCTGGTCCCATGATGACAGTGGCAGTCCTGTAACCTCTGAGCCACCTTTGGAGTCATTCTTCCCTTTTCTTGAAGGATAGTACATATTCATAGCCAGATAGATCTATCGGCCAGTTTGTAGAATCCCAGAAGTCCTAGCCTTCTTTTATTTCATCCCATCTCTTTTCCTTTCAGTTCCAGCTGGCAGTGTTTCTGCTGGTATATAATACTCAGAAACCCTGCCCTCCATGCAGTCCACAGGGTTGCAGGCCGTCAGACGAGGGTGTCCTCCATAGACCTTCCTGGATAACCTCATCTCTGTTCCTGGCTTCTGTTGAGATGGTTGATTGGATCCGTGAATCATACCCAGAATCTCTTTAACAAATGATGAGCCAGCCACACTCTTGGTGTCTCTCCAGTGCACGCTTTCTTATTTTTTGCCGTATGGATAGACAGAATTTTCCAAATCTTGAAGTCATGGTTCCTTTTTGCTACAACAATTCCTTCTTCAGTTTATCTCTCTCATCTCACGTTTCACTATAAGCGGCAAAAAACTAGTCTTTGCCTTTGACACTTTGCTTCGATACCTCCTCAGCTCAGTATCCGAGTTCCTTACTTACAATTTCTGTTTCCACAGAACAGTTGAATATGGTTTGGCCAAATTCTTTGCCACTTTATAATTGGAGGATCTCCTTTTCTCCAATTTCCTATAACGTCCGTATTTCTACCAGCCACTTCCTCAAGGCTTTTTAAACATGCACTTCAGAACTCTCCTGGCCTCTCCCCATGACCTAGTTCTAAAATCACTTCGACAGTTTTTGGTCTTTGTTTTAGCTGCACCCTACTTCCTGGTGCCAAAGTCTATGTTAGTCTACTGTGGCTACCATAACAAGGTACCACAGGCTGGGTGACTTAAACAACAGAAACTTACTTTCTTACAATTCCAGAAGCAACAAGTCCAGAATCAAGGCTTCAGCAGAGCTGGTGTCTTCCAAGGCCTTTCTCGTCTTGGAGACGGCTCCCATCTTGCTGTGTCCTCACAGGGTCCTTCCCTCTGTTGAAGTCTGCCTCCAGTCTCCTCCTCTTAGAAGACCAGTGATTTTGGATTGGCCCCACCATCTGACTTCATTTTGACTTAATTACTTCTTGAAAGACCCTATCTCCAAGTAATCACATTCTGAGGCTCTATGGGTTAGGGCTTCATCATGTAAATTTTCAGGGGGACACAATTTCGCCCATAACATGCACTGTCTGCTCTCATAATTCCATCTCCTCGCCCAGTTAACAAGTAAGAGATCTTAGCGGTCCACCTTGTCACTTTGTTTTCTTCTTCCACCCAAGTCCATTAACAGAAGTCAACTGCTGATCAAGTACCTTGTCATCGGCAGCCTGGTAAAAGTTACACCTTGCTCTTGTCTCCACCCCATGAGGTCCACAAAGTACATCATACACATGACCTCACCTGCCCCACCAGCAGCTTAGAGCAACGGGCTGCCACTGTCATTCTCACCTTGTAGACGAGATGACCCAAGCTCAGAGAAGCTGTCTGGCTGGAACGAGGTTCCTGCAGCTCGAAAACCAAGAGTCGAGATAAGCGTCAAACATAGCCTCTCGGCGGGCGCAGTGGCTCACACCTGTAATCCCAGCACTTTGGGAGGCTGAGGCAGGTGGATCACCTGAGATGGGTGGCTCGCTTGAGCCCAGGAGTTTGAGACCAGCCTGGGCAACATAATGTGACCCCATCTGTACAAAAAATTAAAAACACATGCACACACACAAACACAATCTCTGTCTTCATCTGATGATTTCCCTCCTATACTACGTGGGTTCTTGGCAGACTCAGTACCCACTCCCAGACTCATGTTCCCCCGACCCCCTTGTGACTGAGGGACAAATGCCCCCTCCGCTTCCACCATTGCCCTTTATCTCTCTGCTCTCCATAGCCTCTGTGTCTTCCTGCCCTGCTTCTGTTTGTCCAACTTCTCCTGTCCTGAGCTGCTCTGACTAGCCAGGGCTCTCCTCCCCACAGTCATGAAGCCCAGACTAACCATGTTCCTACTCTTATCTGGGAGGGCCTGGTTCACTCCCCCCAAGTTCTAGATTTGAGTTCTACATTTCACAGCAGTGAGGAAACAGGCCACCTGTATGGTGGGCTCTGCTCCATAAGCCGGGACCTCAGGCCGGGCTCTGCACTGTCCACCCAGCCCCGCCCCGTGGTTCCACCTTCCCAACATCACAGACTCAGGATGCAGGAAGTCCAGAGCAGCTTTATCCATCACCACCTGTGGCCTCAGAAATGCGGTGCTACTGGGAGCCGGGGAGCTGTGGGGGACCCAGGACTCTGGGCAGTCTGGGACTGTTGAGCAGCCTAGCAAGGCTGAGTAGCATTTCAGCCCTCCTTCCTGGCACAGATCACCTTAGTTTATGTGTAAACATGGCAACCAATAGGTCATCGGGTTGCGTCCAGGAGCAAATAGGAATGTGCATGTCAAGTCTAGCACAGTCCCTGGAGCATGCAAGTGCCCAGCACATGATATGTGTAGGTTGTAGAGTCTTCCTCTCTCAAGTCCTTTCACTATCCTGATAGAGCTTTCCCCCATGCCTTGTTAAGTGCATGATCTGTAAATGGTCAAGGCTTTACCCAGATAAATACAGACTCCTAGAGCTTGGGGGGATGGGGTGGTCTCCGTGGGTAGAGAACAAAAGGGTTGGGGGTGGAGATAAGGGAAAATGGCTGGGAAGAGGGAGAGCAAGGTGCCCAGCATGCTCTGGACACAGCGGGGCCCATGCTGAAGATTTCTTCCTCACAGGCTACACCAGTGGCCCCTGCAGGGCTGGCCAGGCCGCCCCGGTCACCGAGGACCATTGTAAAAACACGGGTTTGTAAACTCCAAGCTGAGTGTTCCTCCGCCGCGGTCATAGGGGCTGGGATGTGGCCTGTGCAGCGTCGCTGACCTGCATGTTGCCTTCCTGTAGCTGGCGGCAACCCGCGATCTCTAGAGAACAGCCTGGATGAAGAAGTGACCATCGAGATCGTTCTCTCCAGCTCTGGGGACGAGGACTCCCAGCATGGCCCGTACTGCACAGAAGAGCTGGGGAGCCCCACAGAGAAGCAGCGCAGCCTCCCCGCCTCCCACCGGAGCAGCACCGAGGCCGGAGGCGAGGTGCAGACCTCCAAGAAGTCCTACGTGTGTCCGAACTGTGGGAAAATCTTCCGCTGGAGGGTCAACTTCATCCGGCATCTGCGGAGCCGCAGGGAGCAGGAGAAGCCGCACGAGTGCTCGGTGTGCGGGGAGCTGTTCAGCGACAGCGAGGACCTGGATGGGCACCTAGAGAGCCACGAGGCCCAGAAGCCTTACCGGTGTGGTGCCTGCGGGAAGAGCTTCCGCCTGAACTCCCACCTGCTCTCCCACCGGCGGATACACCTGCAGCCGGACAGACTCCAGCCGGTGGAGAAGAGAGAGCAGGCGGCATCCGAGGACGCGGACAAGGGTCCCAAAGAGCCGCTGGAAAACGGCAAGGCCAAACTGAGCTTCCAGTGCTGTGAGTGTGGGAAGGCCTTCCAGCGGCACGACCACCTGGCTCGGCACCGCAGCCACTTTCACCTGAAGGACAAAGCCCGGCCCTTCCAGTGCCGGTACTGCGTCAAGAGCTTCACGCAGAACTATGACCTCCTCCGCCACGAGCGCCTGCACATGAAGCGCCGTTCCAAGCAGGCTCTGAACTCCTACTGAGCCTCTCCGCCTGGGGCGGCCTCACCCTGGCTGGTGCTGCCCCCTCACCTTGGTACTGATCAGCGCCCCCACCCAGGACATACCTTCCCCAGGATAGAGAGCACACCTCCCTCCTGTCCTTGCTCTCAGGTAGTGAGCGTTCGGGTGGTGCCATGGGAGCACTCTCCCTCCCCCAGGTAATGAAAGAGTGGCCAAGTGAGTGTTCTGTTTCTGCTGTGCCAAAAAACGGGGGGGATGTGCCATCACCAGGTTGGACATGCCAGGTGTTCTGCGTCTTAGAGACCCTTGGCCCATGCTCCCCAAGCTCGGGGAGTAAAACTGGGCTATCCCCCGTCAGGGCGGCACCCTGGTCACCAGCCAAACCTCAGTATACTCCCTCCCCTCCTTCCCTGTCTGAACGCTAGGATCTGCTCCTGAAGCTCCAGGATGCCTGCACTTCCACTGAGAAGCTGCTGGCGGATGTTGGACTAGAGGAAAGAAGAAGGCAGGGTGGGACTGATGGGCTCAGTGGGGAGCAGGGCCAGGCACACTGAGCCAGACATGTCATGTCTGAGCCCCAGATTCGTGGCCATCAGGTAGGCAGGAGCACCCCGCAGATCCAAGATGATCAGGCAGCCCTTTTGGGCTGGCCTCTGTGGCAGGGGTCTGCAGAGCTCCTTCTTGAGGTTTGGAAACAGTCGTCATACCTGTTGATTTTCCTGGGGGCCAATCACTAGGGATCTGGAGCTCACCAAAAACAAAGCTTACATTTTAATTTGTGTTGCACACCTACCCCATAATGTCTTTATACCCCAAAGATCCTTGGTAAATGCTTGTGGGTTGGAAGCGGAGTTGTCATCGTTTAAAAGGCACTTAAGTCCCTTCTTCCAATCTGTCCTGTCTAGGAATGTGGAGCTCTGCCCCCAGTGAGGGGTTCTCCTGTCTGGGTGAGCCAAGCTCCAGAACAGAACCTTGCCTGACAACACACTTGATAGATACATTAGCTTGGAGTGCTGGTGTGTCCAAACACTGGCTGGCTTAGAACAACAGGAGTGTATTCCCTGACAGTTCTGGGAGGTGCACGTCCAAGATCAGGGTGTCCTCAGAGTTGGTGCCTTCCGAGAGCTGTGAGGGAGAAGCGGCTTCATGCCTTTGCTGGCAGTTGCCATTCCTTGGTGTGTGGAAGCGTCACCCAGTCTCTGCCTTCATCTCCACATGGCACTCTTGCTGTGTGCGTGTCTGTCTCCAAACCTCCCTTTGTTTAAGGACACCAGTCATATCGGATTAGAGCCCATCCCACCGACTCCAGTATAACCTCATCTGTATCCGCAGCAACCGTTTACCAATAAGGTCACATTCTGAGGTACTAGAGGTTGGGACTTCAACATCGGAATTTGAAAGGGACAGCATTCAGCCCATGACTCCAGATAAACGTGAGGTATGCTATATCATTCCTAATTTACAGATGAGTCAATACAAACTTGAGTGAGCTTGCTCACAATTCCATCAAAGGCAGGGTTCAGACCCAAGTTTCAGCATTTAGGGCAGGTGTCCTCTGCATGGAAGAATCATACTCAATAGCCGTAAACGCTGACAAATTCCCCTTCCTCCCTGCCTTCTGATGGGGGCTGGGCAGGCCAGCTGGAGCTGTGTCTCCTGCTGGGATTCCGGACTGAGAGTGACAGCAGGTAGTGAAACCTCAAGCAATTTAAAACATGGTATTGTTCCTGGAAGACTGGTTATGTTGGCTAGGGTCAGCAAGAGAGGGCATCAAGGCTGTAGTCTAGCAGTGATTTAATCTGCAAGTCAAACCAGACGGGTATTTTGTATTATTCATATGTCACATCCTACCAACAGACAGTAAGTCAGGCAAGGCTCCTGGTGCTCCTTGTCACTCACGTAATTTTCACATCAGGAAAACTCTGGGCTGGGTGCAGTGGCTCACACCTGTAATCCTAGCACTTTGGGAAACCAAGGTGGGTGGATTGCCTAGCTCAGTGACACCAGCCTGGGCCACATGGCAAAACCCCGTCTGTACCAAAAATGCAAAAAATTAGCTGGGTGTGGTGTTGACGTTTGCGGTCCCAGCTACTCTGGAGGCTGAGGTGGGAGGATTGCTTGAGTCTGGGAGGCAGAAGTTGCAGTAAGCCGAGATCATGCCACTGCACAAGCTAGGTGACAGAATGAGACTCTGTCTCAAAAATAATTAAAAAGCCTCTGCCCCAAACTCGTTAAAAGATTTTATAACCACAACTGCTGTTTCTGTGTAGATGCATCTGCATGCCCAGGAGCAGTAAATGCAATAAAATCATTTGGTTATACTTTGAACACAAAATAAACGGTTGAGGCTTTTACTTTCTAAATAGTTTGTCTCTTGTATCAACATAGCTGGAAAAGGGAGAAATCCGATTTTTAAGGCCAAGGGAGGGGAAAATTCCAAGTAGAAGCCAGGCTCTCTGTACACGTTTACCCCACCTACCTGTGTGCTCCTACCTGTGCTGAGGATTCTCTCTGTAGCTCTAAGGTCTTGGGAAGGTTATTCACCTTCCTGCTTCAGACGTCTGACTCAAGAGAAGAACACTGTTCTACTTACCAGAGTGTTTTTCTGTGTAAAACCACATCATGAAGGAGAAAGCGACAAAGGGAATGTGAGGGGCTGGAAGCCACAGGGAGGCTGTCTCTTGAGTCCCCACCACTGATCCAGAGCCAACCAAGGCACCTCAGGAAATGGAAGGCCACATTGCCTCTGGATTTGGAAATCCTCCTGGGTAATGTAACTGAAACCCAGGTTGATGCCATGCAGCAGGAGCAGCAGGGGGAACGTGCTCTCAGGAGAGGTCGGCCAACCCTCCAGCCCAACACCCTTCACCACAGTGGTGGAGGAGGCTGCACCCAGGAGATCTTTGTCTCCCTTTTGGCCACTGATACCTTTGGCCTTATCTGACAACAGCTACCCCTCGATCCTTCCCTCCCACCCCAGGGGCTGGGCAGCTGGCTGGAGCTTTGTGTCCACCTTGCTCTGGAGGTTGAGACCCCCATCTGAGCAACATCCTCTCTCTTTGTTCCTCTGATCCCTTGGCATCGTCACAAACCCACAGGTGCATAATAAAAACTTGCTGAGTCAATATTCCTGTTAGGCTTTTCATTTTCATTTAAAAAGTAAAATGTGGCTGGGCGTGGCAGCTCATTCCTGTAATCCCAGCACTTTGGGAGGCCGAGGCAGAAGGATTGCTTGAGGTCAGGAGTTTGAGACCAGCCTGAGCAATATAGTGAGACCCCATCTCTAAGAAAAAAATAGAACAATTAGCCTGCCATGGTGGCACATGCCTGTAGCTATTTTGGGGGCTGAGGTGGGGGAAGATCCCTTGAACCCAGGAGACAGAGGTTGCTGTGAACGGTGGAGGTTGCTATGAACGGTGGAGCGCCACTGCACTCCAGCCTGGGTGACAGAGCAAGACTTCATCTCAAAAAACAAAAAGTAAAATGTGAAGCACAGCCAAAACATGTTTTCTAAGACCTGCAGGCTTTAGATAGTTCTGGTCACCTGATCTGGCCCCTCCCCAAAAGAAAGAAGAAGAAATAACTGTTTCATACGCTGGGAGTAGATTGTACTCCTGGTCACACCACAGCTTTAAGCCAACCTTAGTCGTTTTTCTCTTTTCTCTATCTCCCCAACTCTTGCCTCAGCTAGAAGAAGAAACAAATAAAAAAAGATGAGGCCATTGGTGGGAGGGTCCCTATCAGTCCTAAATCATACTGTGGCACAAAGGAAAGAGAAGGCCAGCTTTGAAGCCTGTGGAGATCTTGTCCAAGTCACTCTTCTCCTGTGAGATGGTTTCCCTTCCTCTGCCAAAAGCAGAGTTTGGATCAGATAGAAGTAATTCTGCTTGCAGAGTTACGTAGACGATTCAGCGATGATTATAGCACTTCAGCAATTCCATCAAATAAGCCCACTTTTTTTTCACCCCCCTAAAGACGGGCTCTCACTATTTTGCCCATGCTGGTCTCAGACTCCTGAGCTTCTCCCACCATGGCCTCCCAAAGTGCTGGGATTATAAGTCTGAGCCACCACACCCAGCCTCCAGACACACTTAGTATTAGCAACAAACACTGATACTGTTTGGTCTTGAAAGTGACGGTCAGTGCCCACTACTAGTCCATGCAACAAGGCTAGAGGTTAGAAAACTTGCTTAGGGCAGACTGGCCACAGGAAAGGGACTGTTGAAGGGACCACTGGAAGACCAGGTACCTCTAGCAGCCCAGACCCATGTATAGGGCAGCTGATAGAGTGCCAGTGGCCCAGCATCTGGGGGGTGGTTAGTAGTGATCATGAGCTCAACAGGGGCAAAGCCCAGGGGGTCCATCTGTACCTGTTTTGCCCATCAGATACCAATTGGGAACTTTATCTTCTCTTGAAACCATAGCCTGTAACCAGGTCACCATGATTAATGTGCATATAATTAGCAAAGTACAGAGAAGCCATAGAAATTCCCTGTGAGAAGATGCAAAACTCAGTGTGGGAAAGCAGAGTCCTCAGGAATACACGGAAGTGGGAGGAACCCGGGGCTTACCTCACACATCTTGGCCATAGCCGGGAATATCACAGGCAGGCCGACAACTGTGTGACAAAGGGCTGTCTTCTAATCACACAACCAAATGGCAGGAGAACCACCCTTTCTCCATCACCTGCTTTAAAAAAAAAAATACTATGGTTGTGTCTGTCCTGCCCCATTATATTAGTCTTGCTACACCTTGTCAAAATACGAAGAGGTTGGATACTTGCTATTTTCTACCTTTTTACGTGATGATCAGTCAGGCATAGCCACAAGAGAAGACAGAGGAGAGTCTCAGGAAAAGACGAAGTTTATTCTACTCACAGGTCCTAGAGACAGGAGGCACAGCAGGCCAGGCAGGGCCTCATGGGAAAGACACCAGGTGGCAGGAAGCAGAAGACAGGAGCAAGGAGAAGGTTTGGGCCACCGTCTTTATTGGGGTTTCCTTTGAGAGAGTCAAAGCAGGGCAAGGTGAACAGTTTAGGATTGGTTAGTTTGAATAATTTCTGTGGGCTTTGGGTTACAGGGATGGTTACTAATTGCCTGGCACCAGGCTCTGGGATGCGTAAGACAGAGGAATGTTGCCTCCTGGGGTGTCATGTCAGATACTGGAGGTATGGGTCCGAATGGGTTAGTTTGCGTATCAAAGGCATGCTCCTTGCTGGGCAAGGATTCACTGGCGCATAAACCTCAGATAAGGGGGCCTAAGGACTAAACTCTAACTGATATTGTCTTAAATTTCCTCCTGGGACTGGAGGAAGTCGTTCCCAAGAGCCAGACCTAACATTCTTTTCTGCTGACCCCAAATTTTAAACAAAGCTTCTCTTCTATAACCTACTGCAAATCAGAAAATCTGTGAATTCTACCTATGACCTGTAAGCCTCCGCTTCAAGGTATCCTGTCCTTTTGAGGCTAAACCGATGAGTAATTTCAATGTATTGATTTATAATTTTGCTTGTAATTTCTGCTTTCCTAAAATTTACCCCTGCCTTTATTTTTCTCTTCTCCTTTCTTTTCTTTTTCTTTTCTTTTTTTTTTCTTTTTTTAATGACTAGTCAGATGCAGTAGTGAGAGTCAGGGGAAGAGCAGAACAAGGTGTTTGATGTGTAACTCACTGAACAATCGTGATAACTCATTACCTTTGCACCAGCCGCCCTGCCTTTAAAAACCCTTTCTTGCAAGCCGCTGTGGAGGTCAGATATTAAGTGTGAGCTGCCTTATTCTCCTTGCTTGGCATCCTGCAAATAAACACCTTCCTTTCTCCTGCCACAAACCTCAGGACGGGTGTTTGTCCTTATTGCACTGGACGAGTGGATCCCAGTTAGATTAAATAATGGCCAGGTGTGCAGTGTTGGGGCTCGAAGATGGTCAGTACAGACTTGCATTATAGTTGAGAAGAAGAGGACAGATGATATCCAATACATTCCTTTCTCACCACTTTCTCCACGGTTACTCACCAAGGGCAGAGACCTCTGTCTGTGTCTGCTTACATCATCCAGCTTGCGGTCTAAGACAACATGCTCCTGCAAAATGAGAGCTTGGTATGTGTTGGATAGAGCTGCACCCCATCACTTCTGCCCTCCCAAAAGAAACATAACTCCCATCCAAGCAGGTGCTTGGAAACCAGTATGTTCAGGTGCTGGGGAGAGCTGCCACTGCTCAGACACCAGCCTGTGGTATCAACTAGGTATCCCGCAGACACTCTTTCTCTGGCATCAACTAGATATCCTGCAAACACTCTTTCCAAATACGGTCACATTCACAGGTCCCAGGAAAAGATCTTCATGGAGGCCCCATTCAAACCACTACAGTTCTTTTAAGGGAAGATTTAAATCTCAAAACCAGTTAGGTAATCAATAGTGTTCTACCACTCCAGGAAACTAAAGCTGCCCTCCAGGTTCTGGTTTCTACAGTAAAGTGATTCTCCCTCAGGAAATAGTTATCTTCATGTAACCAACTCAAGTTCAGCTGCTCACAAGAAGCAAGGTGTGGTCAAAGGAAAGCAGCTTTACTAATGAAATGCTAGCAGATGGGAAATGCCAAGGCCTTAAAGAAGCCATTTCCAAAGTTTGGGCTGAGGGCAGGGGCTGAAAAAAGGGAAGCCTGATGTGAAAGGCATGCTGGAGTTGTGCAGGTGCAGGGGCTGTGTCTTGCTCTGATGCCTGTCTTGAGTTATGGTCCACCTGGAGTGCAGGCTGGCACCATCTTCACAGTGGCAATGGCCATGTAACTGAGCAGCTTGGCAGCTAAGCCTCAAACCATGTTTTAAAACTTTTTTTTTCCTTTCTCCTTTCCTCCTTGAACCGTCTAGTCTCAGGCTGTAATAACTTCATTATTTACTTATTTATTTATTTATTTATTTATTTATTATTTATTTTTGAGACAGAGTCTTGCCCTGTGCCCCAGGCTGGAGTGCAGTGGCATGATCTGGGCTCACTATAGCCTCCAACTCCTGGGTTCAAGCAATTCTCATACCTCAGCCTCCCTGGTAGCTGGGATTACAGGCATGTGTCACCATGCCCAGCTAATTTTTGTATTTTTTAGTAGAAATGGGGTTTCGCCATGTTGGCCAGGCTAGTCTTGAACTCCTAACCTCAGGGGACCCGCCTGCCTCAGCCTCCCAAAGTGCTGAGATTACAGGCGTGAGCCACGACGCTTGGCCAACATGTTATTCTGACTTCCTTCCACAAGCAGCGACCAGCCAGGGCCTTTTTCTGCTGGTTACAGTCGGGCTGTAGATGCTCCATCTTCAGGCAGTCTGTAAGTGGGGGAGCATTTCACAGCTGGACCTGCATGCCTGCTGTGTTTCTAATCAAGCCCTGGAATTTCCTAACAAGCATATGGTTAGATAAAGGTGCTTGGGGTAAGGAAGTGTGCAGTGGAAAAGGGAAGGGACTGCAGTTTCAAAGTACATCTCAAGGCTGTATTTTAAGACTAAGGAAAAAAAGGTTTTTGCAGTCTGTTTCAAGGTTGTATCTTGAGACTGGAAAGAAAGGAGGAAAGAAATAAGTTTTAAAATGCATTTTGAAACTCAGCTACTCACATTTAGTCAAGAATCTAGAGTGGTACTGGGTGTGGTGGCTCATGCCTGTAATCCCAGCACTTTGGGAGGCTCAGGCAGGCTAATTGCTTGAGCACAGGAATTTGAGACCAGCCTGGGCAACATGGCAAAAACCTGTCTCCACAACAAAATACAAAAATTAACCAGGTGTGGTGGTGTGCACCTGTGGTCCCAGCTCCTCAGGAGGCTTAGGCAGGCGGTTCACCTGAGCCTGGGAGGTCGAGGCTGCAGTGAAGCTTGATCATGCCACTGCACTCCAGCCTGTGTGACAGTAAGACCCTGTCTAAAAACAAAAAACAACAAAAAAGAATCTAGAGTGTTAAAGCTGAAAGAGACACAGTAAGTTGTCCAGAGCCCTCCTTTGGCCAGGGGGGACAACTTAGTTAAATGTTTTATCTAAGGTTACAGAGTTTGGGCTGAACCAAGTTTCCTGCAACCTCATTCAGTTCTGGGGCTGATCCCGTGGTCGCCAAGGCAGGTGAGGACGCGGAGGCAGGGACTGTAAGTGCCTTGCCCTCAGACTGCCTCAGCAGGGCGGCGGTGAAGCCACGCTGCTCACCACAGTCCTCACAGTGGCTTCAAGCTGGAGGAGGAGTAAGCCTCATAGATGCAGTCGCGTTTCTGAGCGGATGGGACAGTCTGAGAATACTGAATGAGTGAGTGGTTTTGTCATTGTTTTTGGCAGGATGGAGGTGGGTGAAATTTTTCTGAGCTGGGTTTTAAGAAGCAAGAAGAAGCAAATTACTTTTCTGCATCTTATGGCTGGATGGGAAGAAGTTTATGACAGAGGCATGGCTGAAGCCGGGCAGTTTCCCTCCCCGGCCTGGGCGCCTCTCCCTCAGCTCCAGGTGGAGCCTGGAGCGCTGCTCTAGAGGGTGGTCTTTCCCCAGGCTGTGCTCAGTCTTAGGGCGTGGCTGAAGATAGGACGTCTGCTGAGCCTCAGGCCTGACAGTAACAGTGAAGTGAAGACACACCCAGAGAAGAAAACAAAGGTTTTGAAAGGAAGACCCTGGTCTGTTTTGAAATGGGGTCGGGGAGAAGGGCCTTTGGGAGAGGAGGGCTTCCCTTGCCTGGAAATGCCTAGGAGCCACTCGCCACCCATGCCCTCTCCTTTGCCCAGTCAGAGCCACCGCAGCCACCAGCCCCATCGGAAAGGGGCTTAGGAAAATCCAGGACACCGTGGCTCTGCTGTCCTGTGACCCTCACAGCTCCCTCCTGTCTCCTCAGAGGGGCAGCTATTTTTGCAATCCCAAAGCATCACTTTTGGGATGGGTTTAATCCAACCGTGCTGCAGCAGAGGCTCAGGCAGGGTCCAGGTCTGAGTATGGTGGTGCGTCCTAGTCCATAGTTGTCTTGGTAACTGTATTGACTTTCCGGCATAAGTCATGGAAACATCATTTGTGCGCCACTAACTTGGGGGTATTCAGTTCTCCCAACTCCAATCTCCAATCTGCCTGTTTTCCAGAGAGGTCTGCAAGTGCTCTCTAGGGAGACGAAGCGGTGGGCCCTGCCCGGATTCCAGTCTCAACACTGCTGCGTGGCTCTGAGCAATTTCCTAGGAGTCTGTAGAAGTGGCTCCAGGGCACCGCCCTGGGGCTGCCTGGGCAGAGGTGCAGCTGTGCCTGCAAGCCCTTAACCTGAGCTGGGGTGATGGAGGGGTGAGGGCTGGGAGTGGCGAGGGACGCTTTTTCTTCAAGATTTTATCTGTACCTCAACCTGCCCTCCCTGTGGTAGATGATGATCAGGCCAGCAGAACAAGACTCAGGAGCCTTCCTATGACTGGGAAGAAGAGACTTGCGTTATTCACCATTTACCTCCCATGGCACCTGCTGAAACGCCAGGCCCTCTTGGAAGAGCTTGGCACATAGCAGCTCACTGAATCTTCATGATCACCCTGCAAAGGAGGCACAATCATCATGCCCATTTTACAGATGGGCCATACAGTGATAGAAGTTGCTGAGGGACACGCAGCAGATCCAAGATTTCAATTCCGGCAGCCTGTCCAGACTCTGGGCATTTCATAGTGCGTGGAGCTGCTATATACTAACGGTAATTAAAGGCATTGAAAGGTTTTTGTATTGGTTCAAACCCCAAGAGCGCGCCAACGGACAACACAAGGCGGTGTGGAGCAACATGCTGTTTTAATGAGCACCTGGGTGCCGGCGGGCTGAGGCCTAAAATGGTGTCAGCACCAAGTGAGGACAGGGCAGGGATTTTATAGTTCTCTGCAAACAGGAAGTGTCCCAGTCTGACGTGACTGCCACGTAGTAGCCAGACGGCCTCTCTCCATCCTCAGGTGCGTGTCTTCCGGCCGGGGTGCGTGTCTTCCGGCCGGGGTAGGTGTCTTCCGGCCGGGGTGCGTGTCTTCCGGCCGGGGTAGGTGTCTTCCGGCCGGGGTGCGTGTCTTCCGGCCGGCCCTCTTCCTGCTTCTGCTTCTCGCTGACGCGCGCTGCTGGTGCAAGCGGCCTTGCGCCTTGCGACTGGGTCTGAGGAGGGAGGAGTTATTCATCCCCCCAAGCTTTCGGCCCCGGGGAGAATCTTTCATTCCTGTCTATTTGGTTATAGAAAAAGGGAAAAGGGGCGACTTTCTCCATAACTACTTCAGGTGTGACATAGGGGGTGGCGTGGGCACCTCGGAAAAAAAGAAAAAATTTTGGCGTATTCTTGAGAGACGGCTTGGTATCCATCGTGTCGTTGTAGCAGGAGCATCGTCTGGATTGTCTGGCGGTTAACTGTAGTTTCAACAAGAGTTTTAATGGCTTTTATTATCAGTGGGATACCACAGGGGAGAAACAGGAGGACCCCAATGAGGAAGATTACTGTCCCTACCAGCGTTTTAAATCCCCCTAAATTAGAGAACCACCCTCCTAGAAGGTTTGTTGGGTCCCATCCCTTCCAGGTTTGGACTGGTACACGGGCTACTTTTCTGATGTTTGAAGCGATTTCTAGAACCGCTTTTCCGTTACCGTCTATGTTAAGACAGCAATTGGAGATGTTAAACTTACCACAGACCGCACCCTCTTCTGCTAATAAGTAGTCTAGAGCCAGCCTGTTTTGATAAATTGCTGGGTGCGTTTGGTTTTGTTGTCACGCGAGCATTTCCAGCGCTGGGGCGGTTTGGTTAGTGATTATCTCTAGAGCAGCCTGTAGTCTAATTATTCTGTTTAGCATATATGTGGGAGTGCGATAACCCCGTGAACCATCCTCAGCCCAGGTGGCAGGACCGTAATATTCGATGATCCGTTGCGGAGGCCACTCGTCCTCTCACGGTCTTTGGCTTCCTCCTGCCTTTAAGGACTGTTTTTCTCTGGTTATCATACGCAGGGACTCCAAGGGTGTCGGGGTTTTCCCACGTAAAGGCAAAGAGGTTTTGGGAATCAGGGTGTAAAGGAATTGTGAAAAAAGCATCCTTTAGGTTTAGAACAGAAAAATGGGTGGTGTTGGAGGGAATTGTGGAAAGTAAAGTGTATGGGTGAGGAGATACTGGGCATACTGGGAGTACAGCTTGGTTAATGAGCCTGAGGGCCTGGACTAAGCGATAAGTTCCATCTGGTTTTTTAACAGGTAGAATCTATATGTTAAAAGGGGAGTCTGTTGGGCAGAGTAGGTGACTGACGAGAAGGAGAGAAACGATAGGCTTTAGGCCTGTAAGAGCTGCTTGGGGGATGGGATACTGCTTCTGTGACAGGAACTGGGCGGGCTCTTTAAGGGTAATGCGGACGGGGCTGTGGTGTTTTGCGACTGAGGGTGTGGAAGTATCCCAGACAGCCGGGTTAACTACGGATGGGGGAAAAGGAAAGGTTGCATGTTTTAGGGTGGGAAGTTGGACGAGTAGAAGAAAGCTAGAAGTACCGGAGGGGTCTGGGCAGATGCGTTGGCTGCCATGGGGAATGTGGAAGTGGAGAGTAGTGTAGAGTTTTGAAAGGATGTCTCTGCCTAGAAGCGGAGTTGGGCATGAGGGCAGGACTAAGAGTGAGTGAGGGAAAAGGCGTGAAGGGAGCAGAAGAGCGGAGGGTGGCTCAGGGTTTGGAGACTTGTCCATCAATTCCCACAACAGAGACTTGGGAGGACTGGGTCGGTCCTGAAAAATTAGGTAAAGCAGAGTAGGTTGCCCGGTATTAATTAAAAAACATACTGGCCTACCTGCCACCATCAGGGTTACCCTTGGCTCGGATGAAGCGATGGTAGTTGCTGGGGCATCCATTCCAGGGCACCGTCAGTCTTCAGCAGCAAGGCCAATGAGAGTAGGAGGTTTTTGGCTGGCTCAGGAAGGGATGGGGGCGGTCCTTACAGGGGCCGCTTACAGTCCAACTTCCAGTGGGGTTTTCTGCAGAGGGGGCACAGCCTGGTGGGCTTAGCCGGGTTTGGGCATTGTCTGGACCAGTGGCCTACATTGCCACACTTGAAACAGGTGCCAGGTGGAGGTGGATTACCAGGAGGCTTCCGTGTGGAGCCACAGCCCCGTGAGCCTGCAGGGCCCCTGATGGCAAAGGCAAGCATTTGAAACTCTCCCTGTTTTTGCCTTTTACTTTCCTTATCATGACTGTTAAAGACTTTGAAGGCTAAATTAAGAAAGTCTAGTTGTGGGGTTTGAGGGCCGTTGTCAACCTTATGAAGCTTGTGCCAGGTATCGGGGTGGATTGGGAGATGAATCGAAGGTTTAAAATAGTGGTTCCTTCTGGGCTGGCTGGGTCTAGGTTGGTATACTTTCTCATGGCTTCAGTTAAACGACAGAGAAAAAGGGCTGGGTTTTCGTCGGGACCTTGGGTGATTTCTGAAAGTTTTTCATAGTTGACTGCTTTATGGGCACCCTTTTTGAGTCCTGCAAGGAGACACACAATCATGTGGTCTCGATGGCGGCGTCCAGAAGCCCCGTCTTGATAATTCTAGAGGGGGTCCTGTTTGGGGACTGCCTCTGCACCAGTAGGCTGCGCAGGAGCCTGGTGATGAATTGTATCAGCATGTGCCTGAGTTAGGGTCCAGATACGGTCTCAGTCTTCTGGGGTGAGGGTGGAAGACAGGATAATGTAGAGGTCATGCCAGGTTAGTTCATAAGACTGGGTGAGGTATGAAACTCATATATAAGAGGTAGGGTCTTCTGGAAGTGAATCAAGTCTTTTGTTAATTTGAGAGAGATCAGTGAGGGAGAATGGAACATGAACTCTAACAATACCTTCAGTTCCTGCTACTTCCCGAAGGGGGCGCTGAAGTAAAGGTGGGGCATGGGCTGAAGATGGCGCCCGAGCGAGTATGGGCGGGAGAGAAGGAAAAGCCGGAAGTGGTTCCTGCTGAGGGTTTGAAGGGGGAAGAGGGGTTGAGTTAATAGGCGGCGGAGGATAGATAGGGGTGTAAGGTGGCGGGATGGGTTTACGGGCCTCAGGAGAGAGGGCGGTGATGAAGGAGAATGGGGACAGGCAATACTAGAATTGTCCTGAGGAGGGGACGGTGTCGGAAGAGAAGTGGATACTGCTGACTGGGAAGGTGGCGGCTGAGAAGATAAAGAGGAGGCTTGGGGGTTTAAAAAAGACATTTGAGAGGGAGAGGAAGGGGCTGGGAGGGGTGGGCAGCAGTCTGCTGGATCAAACGAGGAAGAAGAGGTAGGGTTGGGAGGAGAAACGCGATCAAGGTGGAAGAATGGAGGAGAAACAGGTAAGCAAGAACAGCAGAGGTCGGGCTGTGATCTGAGTGCAAAAAGGCCTGGACAGAAGGACATAAGGAATCTCTCCCCATTTCTCCAGTCGTCGGAAATAATTGCTTAAGTCAGGTAAAACTGTAAAGTCGAATGTTCCATTTGCGGGCCATTTGGACCCGTTATCTAGTTGGTACTGTGGCCAGACTGAATTGAAAAAAAGACAAGGCGCTTAGGGCGGATATCTTGCCTGAGGCCTGAGGTTTGCAGGTTTTTATGAGGTAGCCTAGCGGGCTGTCCTTTGGAAAGGAAGACTGAGAATTTCCCATAACAGAGGGTAGGCTCAGGAGAACAGGGAAAAGGAGACCGTCCTGCATGGCTGGAGGGAGACGATAAAAGAAGCAGTCATCACCGCTGCCTTTTTCGTTCCTGGAACGGGATCAAATGGCTTAGAGGCGACCCCCTAAGACCAGATGATCAGCGAGTGCCTGGCACACGCCAGAGCCTTCTTGGACCAACGTTGGATTTTCGGGCCAGAGAAACCAAGAGAAGCTGTGTGGATTTTTCCCTGTTAATGGGGCTCCAGGGAAACTTACAGGTAGGCAAGATCAGTGACTGATGTGCATGCACAGAGAGGCGATTGGAGACTGAGGAGCTTCCTTTGTCCGGCTGCTGTGGCCTACTCTCCGGGGTGCAGGGGTAGGCCCACAGGGGACACAGACCTGAGCCCCTCCTGGGTTTCGGCACCAGATTAAAGGTTCTTGTATCTGTTTGAACCCCGGGAGCGCGCCAACAAACAACACAAGGTGGTGTGGAGCAACATGCTGTTTTATTGGGCGCCTGGGTGCAGACGGTATGAGACCTAAAATGGCGTCAGCACCAAATGAGTGCTGAGCAGGGGTTTTACAGTGTCCTGTAAACAGGAAGTGTTCCAGTCTGACGGGACTGCTACGCAGCAACCGGATGGCCTCTCGCGATCCTCAGGGGTACATGTCTTCCGGCCAGGGTAAGTGTCTTCCGGCCGGCTCTCTTCCTGCTTCTGCTGTCTTGCTGAGGCGCGCTGCTGGCGCAAGTGGGCTTGTGCCTCCGGACTGGGCCTGAGGAGGGAGGAGTTATTCATCCCCTTAAGCTTTCAGGCCCCGGGGAGAACCTTTCAGGCATAAAGTAATGAACACTAATAAGTGATTTTTAAATTACCCCTGTGATAAGGGCTACGGTTTAGGAATACATAGAAAATGTATCACGGAATTTTCCCTTAGTCTGTAGCGTCAGAGAAGCCTTCCAGGAGAAGTAACTTTGAAAGGCAGATGTGGAAGATGAAGAAAAGGCAGCACAGGAAAGGGAGGAGGCAGGGCTGTCCATGGGTGGCAGGACTTAAGGAGGACCCGTGTAGCTTTGGGAACAAGGGACAGAGTGGCAACAGGTCTTGTTGGAATGTACCTTGAGAGCCCGTCACAGCAGGGAGGTGGCAGAACCAGGTTTGCATTTTTACTTTATTTATTTATTTATTTATTTATTTATTTATTTATTTATTTATTTTTGAGCTGGGGTCTCGCTTCGCCCAGGCTGGAGTGCAGTGGTGCGATCTGGGCTCACTGCAAGCTCTGCCTCCCGGGTTCCCGCCATTCTGCCTCAGCCTCCCGAGTAGCTGGGACTACAGGCGCCCGCCACCACGCCCGGCTAATTTTTTGTATTTTTAGTAGAGACGGGGTTTCACCGTGTTAGCCAGGATGGTCTGGATCTCCTGACCTCGTGATCCGCCCTCCTCGGCCTCCCAAAGTGCTGGGATTACAGGCGTGAGCCACCGCGCCCGGCCACTTTATTTATTTTTTGAGACAGGATCTCACTCTCTCATCCAGGCTGGAGTGCAGTGGCACCATCATAGCTCATTGCAGCCTTGAACTCCTGGGCTTAAGCTATCCTCCTACCTCAGCCTCCCAAGTAGCCGGGACTACAGGCATGCTTCACCATGCCTGGCTAATTTTTTAATTTATTTTTTTGCAGAGACAAGGTTCACCATGTTGCCCAGACTGGTCTTGAACTCCTGGCCTCAGTCTCCCAAAGTGCTGAGATTACAAGTGTGAGCCACCTTGCTGGCCAAGGTTTGTATTTTTAAAGGTGGCCCCGCTGCAGTGGGGTGCAGAGGAGAGAAAAATGGGGTATAAGAGGATAGTGGGGTGCAGGGGGGAGGGACAGTGGGGAAAAAGGGAGAAGATGGTGGGATGCTGGGGAGAGGGCAGCACTGGGGGATTTCAGGTGAGTTTCAAGGCCACTGAGCTAGGACAGGTGAGATTCCAGCATGGTGCAGTTTGGAGGCAACAATATGGGTGAAGAGAAGTACAGAGATTTGAGAAGTATTTGGGTGGCAAGCTGGGAGGCAAACTTCCAGGTTTCTACGTGAGCACAGGGGCGATGTCTTGGGGAGGAAGGAATATTGCAGCAGGAGTTCAGTGTGGAACATGCAGAGTGGAAGGGTAGCCATGGCAGGAGACAGCTGAACATGCAAGTCCAAAGAACAGAGAGAGCTTTAGGCTGCTGGGGAAATGTTGGGGGTCTTGCCCTGTTGCTGTAATTGAAGTTGTGAGAGTAGATGAGGTGGTTGGGGAAGAAAGCACCCACAGACAAGTGGCCAGGCGCGGTGGCTCAGGTTTGTAATCCCAGCACTTTGGGAGGCCAAGGCAGTGGATCACTTGAGCCCCGGAGTTCGAGACCAGCCTGGGCAACATGGAAAAACCTCATCTCTATAAAAAATACAAAAGTAGCTGGTTATGGTGGCATGTGCCTGTAGTCCCAGATACTCTGGAGGGTGAGGTGGAAGGATTGTTTGAGCCCAGGAGGCGGAGGATGCACTGAGCCCTTGATCATGCCACTGTACTCCAGCCTGGGTGACAGAGCAAAAACCTATATTGATATGGTTTGGCTCTGTGTCCCTACCCAAATCTCATCTCAATTTGTAATCCTCGTGTGTTGAGGGAGGAACCTGTAATCCCCATATGTCAAGGGGGGCAGGTGATTGGGTCATGGGGGTGTCCCCCATGCTGTTCTGATGATAGTGAATGAGCTCTTGCGAGATCTGATGGTTTTATAAGTGTTTGGAAGTTCCTCCTTTGTCTCCCTCTCTCCCTCTCTCTCTCTCTCTCTCTCTCTCTCTCTCTCTCTCTCTCGCTGCCTTGTGAAGAAGGTGCCTGCTTCTCCTACCACCATGATTGTAAGTTTCTTGAGGCCTCCACAGACATGTGGATCTGTGAGTTAATTAAGCCTCTTTTATTTAAAAATTACCCAGTCTCAGGTAGTATCTTTATAGCAGTGTGCAAATGGACTAATACATATAGCAAAAAAAGCAAAAACAAACAAAAAACAAAAGCAGACAAGGGAGGCTGGATGCAGAGGGCTGGCTGGGTATTTAAAAGTCAAGAGGGAGTTTGTACTGTTATAAACAAAGGGTTGGATAAATAAATGGGGAGTAGATATCATCTGTGCAGAACTCCAAATGATTTACATAGATGATCTGCCCTCGAGGAGTGGTAGCATAGCACTGCAGCCCTTAGGTGTGGAATGTTTATAGTGACTGCCTCTCCATCTATACAGTGTGGAAAGGAGGAAAGAGTCACTGTATAATGGACAAACCTGACAATCATTACCTGAGGCAGGTGACCAAGGCCAACATCAACAATGATAAGTCAAGTTGACAGTTTGAACCCTTGAGAATGAAGTACTGAGAAGGGCACTTTACCTCTGTGGTCTTTCAACCCCAAACCTTCCTCCCCCAAAACTCTCATCTAACCATGAGAAAATCATCAGACAGACTGGGCAAAGTGGCTCATGCCTGTAATCCCAGCACTTTGGGAGGCTGAGGCAAGAGGATCTCTTGAGCCCATGAGTTCCAGACCAGCCTGGGCAACATAGTGAGATCTCGTCTCTATTTAAAAAAAGAAAAAAGAAAATCATCAGACAAACCTTGATTGAGGGATAGTTTACAAAATACCACAGCACCTCAAAACCATCAAGGTCATCAAAAACAAGAAAGTCTGAGAAACTGTCAGTCAAGGAGAGACTAAGGAGGCAGGACAGCTGGGTGCAACGAGGCATCCTAGATCGATGTCCCGAAACAGTAAAGAGACATAAGGTGAAAACTGAGGAAATCTGAACAAAGCATGGACTTTAGTTAATAACGTTATCTACATTGATTCATTAATTATAACGTGTATCCAACAAATACATTAATAAAATACTAATAATAGAAGAAACTGAGTGCAGAGGTTATGGGAACTCTATGCATTATCTTACCAATTTTTCTGAATGTCTAAAGCTCTCTTCTAAAAACTAAAGTTTACTTTTTAAAAAACTGCTATGAAAATTTTCTCTGGCATCCTAATGTATTGTTTGGGATTCCCGAAGTGGGGAATTAATGAGATAATTTTAGTTTGGCAAATGGATATAGTATTAAAAACATAAAGTTACATACTGAAAAGTTATTCTTTTCTTCAACTCTTCTGGTGAGATCACACAGTGAGTCTTCTTCAGTGCTAGGATGCCTTCATGGCTTCTTTGACACTTACTAATCTCCATTATTTAATGACCTCAAACTCATAGACCCAGCTGGACTCCAGTGTCTACAGTTCAATAGCATTGCTTTGTTTTGAGTTCATCTTCAGGCACCTTTTTTTTTTTTGAGACGAAGTCTCGCTCTGTTGCCCAGGCTGGAGTGCAGTGGCTTGATCTCGGCTCACTGCAAGCTCTGCCTCCTGGGTTCATGCCATTCTCCTGCCTTAGCCTCCTGAGTAGCTGGGATACAGGCACCCGCCACCACGCCTGGCTAATGTTTTTATTTTTTTATTTTTAGTAGAGACGGGGTTTCACCGTGTTAGCCAGGATGGTCTTGATCTCCTGACCTCGTGATCCACCCGCCTCAGCCTCCCAAAGTGAGATTACAGGCGTGAGCCACCGCCCCTGGCCCTTAGACACCCTTTCTTTATGGCAAATGCTACCGGTTGTCCTTTTGTGTGAGCAATCTGAAGTTTCTTTAAAGAACTTGATTGCAGTTGTTAAAAGGAAGAACTTCAAGTATACTGGTTGACAATGGTGACTTTTACCTGAGCCCTGTGAGTGTGAATCAAAACAATCTTCCTACCCTTTGTGTCCTGGAAATGGCTTCCAGCTGATAACCTACAGGTCCAAATTAACTACCTGGAGAAGGTTTTATGATTCGTGGCTTACATCCTGTCCCTGAGTAAAAAATCTTTGCGTTGAGTTCCTCAAATCTCATCGTGCCTCCCCTTCTATTCCAAAAAAATAGCTACTAAGATTTAAAAAAAAAAAAAAAAGTAAAAAAAATGACATACCTTCCTCACAGTTTGTGGACAGAGGACAGACAGAACTCAAAGTCATCCCTCTGCTCACTGGGATAAATGCGTATCTGATGACTTCCTTTGTAAAGGCTAATCAGAAACTCAAAAGAATGCAACCCTTTGTCTCTTATCTACCTATTACCTGGAAGCCCCATCCTCGCTTCAAGTTGTCCTGCCTTTCCAGACTGAACCAATGGACATTTTGTATGTGCTGATTGATGTCCTATGCCTCCCTAAAATGTATAAAACTGAGCTGCGCCCCGACCACCTTGGCACATGTCATCAGGACCTCCTGAGGCTGTGTCACGGGTGTGTCCTCAACCTTGGCAAAATAAACTTCCTAAATTGACTGAGACTTGTCTCAGATACTCTTTGATTTACAAAACATTTATCAAATTATGTCTGCCTCCACAGCCTTAATTTAGTTGACACAGCAAAGAACTTCCCTTCTTCACATGACTTAGATCTCTCTAAGAGATGTCCCCTTGTTGACCTGGCACAAGGCCACACACAGACCTTCCGAATTCCCACTCATTGCCCCACAAATGATTAGGCTGACTCTCTGTACTCACCGATCCACCAGAACAGAGTGCTGGTTAGCCAAACTCTCCTTCTCCCGGGCCCCTGATCCTGGACCCACCCTCAGCCTGGAGCAGCAGACAGCCCCTCCAGAGAACAGGCTGGACGCTGGATAAAACATTCTCTATCTACTCTCCATTCACCCCACCTCCCACCCATCCCTTCATGAGGCTCCTCCCATTTCCCCACACTTCATTCTTCTTAGCTTTAGTCACTCTTCCCTCTAGAAGAAAAACCCCTTTCTACCCAACCTTTGAGATGCTGGCAGATTTCATTTTAGGAGCGTTCTCCCTATTGAAATAGTCCCCCTCTTCCTATTACAACAGCCCCTTCCCCTTCCTCTTGTAATAATCCTTTTCTATAAAGTGACTCCTTACCAAGTCTGGAGTTTTTTTTGTACTTGACACAGTACAGGTGGTATTCGCAGTGGCGATGTAATGAAAGTGGTCTGTGAATAAATTAAGAATCAGAAATGCTGTAGTCATAAGACAAAATAAGACAGTGATTTGGGGAGATATCTTCCCATATTCATTTTGAATCCTTGCTGTTCGGCTGGATGCTGTAATAATCGTGAGCTCATGTCTTTGTCACGCAGGCTAAAAAAAGCACCTGGATTTGGGGGGTGTTTAATAATATTCTGGGTGTGGTGGTGCAAGCCTGTAGTCCCAACTACTCAGGAGGCTGAAGCTGGAGGATGGTTTAAGCCCAGAGTTCAAGTCCAGCCTGGGTCACATTGCCAGACCTCATCTCAAAACTAAATAAACAGGCCAGGTGCCACGGCAAATACCTGTAACCAGCACTTTGGGAGGCCAAGACGGGCAGATCACTTGAGCCCAGGAGTTCGAGACCAACCTGGATAATGTGGTGAAACCCAGTCTCTACTAAAAATACAAAAAATTAGCTGGCTGTGGTGGTGAGCACCTGTAGTCAGCTACTCAGGAGGCTAAGGTGGGAGGATCGCTTGAGCCCAGGGAGTTGAGGCTGCAGTGAGCCATGATCATGCCCCTGCGTTCCAGCCTGGGCAACGACAATGAGATTCTGTCTCAAACAAAAATGAATAAATAAAAATAAATAAACAAACGTGTCTAATCAACTCATCTGTTTAACTAACATTGCATATATTGCATATGTGCTTTTCTTTATTTATGTTTTCTTTTTCTTTTCTTTCTTTTCTTTTTTTTTTTTTGATACTAGTTCTCCCTCTGTCACCCAGGCTGGAGTGCAGTGGCATGATCATGGCTTACTGCAACCTTGAACTCCTGGACTCAAGCAGTCCTCCCATCTCAGCCTCTGGACTACAGGTGTGTGCCACTACACCTGGCTAGTTAAGAAAATTTTTTTTGTAGAGATGGGGGTCTCGCTATGTTGCACAGGCTGGCCTTGAACTCCTGGGCTCAAGTGATCCTCCTGCCTAGGCCTCTGAAAGCACTGACATTATAGGCATGAGCCATCAGGCTCGGCCGACATCTTGATTTGTAGCCCACTGTGGCCCATGTGAGATGTCTGACTCCAGAATTGCAAGATAATAAATATATCTTATTTATTTATGTATTTATTTTGAGACAGAGTTTCATTCTTGTTGCCCAGGCTGGAGTGCAATGGCACGATCTCAGCTCACTGCAACCTCCACCTCCCAGGTTCAAGGGAATTCTCCTGCTTCAGCCTCCCGAGTAGCTGGGACTACAGGCATGCGCCACCACACCCGCATAATTTTGTATTTTTAGTAGAGACGGGGTTTCTCCATGTTGCTCAGGCTGGTCTCAAACTCCCGACCTCAGGTGATCTGCCCGCCTCGGCCTCCCAAAGTGCTGGGAATACAGGCGTGAGCCACCATGCTCAGCCTAAATATATTTTATTTTAAACAATTAAATTTGTGGTAATTTTTATAGCACCAATAGGAAATTAATACAACACACATCTATAGTTATATATGCTATATATACATGCTATTGTATGTATAAAATATTTTTGAGAGATTTACATAGCAATGTTAACATCATTTCCTCTGGAAAACGGAACTGAAGGTCTAGGTGATAAAAGGTCACAGGGAGATTTTTCGTGTTATTTTGGTTTGTCCTTTTGAATTTTGAAGGTTTTTTTTTTTTTCTTTTTTTCTTTTTTTTGGAGACAGAGTCTTGCTCTGTTGCCCATACTGGAGTGCAATGACATGATTTCGGCTCACTGCAACCTCCACCTCCTGAGTTCAAACGATTCTCCTGCCTCAGCCTCCCTAGTAGCTGGTATTACAGGCACACAACATCACGTCTGGCTAATTTTTATATTTTTAGCAGAGATGGGATTTCGCCATGTTGACCAGACTAGTCTTGAACTCCTGACCTCAAGTGATCTGCCTGCCTTGGCCTCCCAAAGTATTGGGATTACAAGCGTAAGCCACCACGCCCAGCCTGAGTACTGTTTTTTTGTTGTTGTTGTTGTCTGTTTGTTTGTTTGTTTTTTGGAGGTGGAGTCTCGCTCTGTCATCCAGATTGGAGTGCAGTGGCGCCATCTCAGCTCACTGCAGCCTCAACCTCCCGGGTTCAAGTGATTCCCCTGCCTCAGCCTCCCGAGTAGCTGGGATTACAGGCACATGCAACCACACCCGGCTAATTTTTGTACTTTTTTTAGTAGAGATGGGGTTTCACCATGTTAGTCAGGCTGGGCTTGAACTCCTGACCTCAGATAATCTACCTGCCTCGGCCTCCCAAAATGCTGGAATTACAGGCATGAGCCACAGTGCCCAGCCCCTGAGTTAATTTTTTTTTTTTTCTTTTTGAGACGGAGTCTCGCTCTGTCGCCCAGGCTGGAGTGCTGTGGCGCGATCTCGGCTCACTGCAAGCCCCGCCTCCCGGGTTCACACCATTCTCCTGCCTCAACCTCCAGAGTAGCTGAAACTACAGGAGCCCGCCACTACGCTCAGCTAATTTTTTGTATTTTTTAGTAGAGACGGTTTCACTGTGTTAGCCAGGACGGTCTTGATCTCCTGGCCTCGTGATCCACCCGCCTCAGCCTCCCAAAGTGCTGGGATTACAGGCGTGAGCCACCGCGCCCGGCCCTGAGTACATTTTTAAACATTGAATTAAATTTAAATACTTTTCTTTTCTTTCTTTTTTTTTTTTTTTTTTGTTGTTGTTGTTGTTGTTGTTGAGACGGAGTCTTGCTCTGTCGCCCAGGCCGGAGTGCAGTGGCGTGATCTCGGCTCACTGTAACCTCCGCCTCTGGGGTTCAAGAAATTCTCCTGCCGTCCGGCCTGGGCGACAGAGCGAGACTCCGTCTCAAAAAAAAAAAAAGAAAGAAAGAAAGAAATTCTCCTGCCTCAGCCTCTTGAGTAGCTGGGACTACAGGCGCCTGCCACCACGCCTGGCTTTTTTTTTTTTTTTTTTTTTTTTTTTTTTTTTTTTCTGTATTTTTAGTAGAGACGCGGTTTCTTCATGCTGGCCAGGCTGGTCTCAAACTCCTGACCTCGTGATCTGCCCACCTCAGCCTCCCAAAGTGCTGGGATTACGGGTGTGAGCCACCATGCCCAGCCTTAAAA
This sequence comes from Homo sapiens, assembly GCF_000001405.40. Lineage (NCBI taxonomy): Eukaryota > Metazoa > Chordata > Mammalia > Primates > Hominidae > Homo > Homo sapiens. Next base: position 44,280 of record NW_025791757.1, on the reverse strand, counting down.
ACTTTTTTATATAAAAATTAGCCAGGCGTGGTGGCATGCACCTGTAATCCCAGTTACTGACTGAATGGAAATCAGCCTGACTCCCAGGCTGACACGGGAGGATCCCTTGAGCCTGGGAGTCCGAGGCTGCAGTGAGCTGAGATCGTGCCACTACTCTCCAGCCTGGGTGACAGAGCAAGACCTGTTTCAAAACAAACAAAAAAACCATTTTCTTCTTGGTGGATTTCTCTGCTGTATGTCCTAGGCAATCTCTATCCCTTCAACATTAAAGGGAGAATGTACTGTCCCAGTGCTGTGGTTTGAATATGGCTTGTCCCCACAAAAACTCATGTTGAAACCTAATTCCCAATGTGGCAGTGTTGAGAAATGGGACCTTTTTAGGAGGTGATTGTACCATGAGGCCTCTGCTCTCATGAATGAGTTACTCATTCATGGATTACCTGATTAATGGGTTATCATAGGAATGGAGCTGGCAGCTTAATAAGTAAAGGAAGAGAGACCTGAGCTATCGCACTCAACCCCGTTGCTATGTGATGCCCTGGCCTACCTTGGAACTCTGCAGAGTCTCCACTAGAAAGAAGGTCCCTTACAAGATGCAGCCCTCCACTCCTCTCAGTTCAGTCTACTCCAGCTCACTCAACTCCTCTCCATTCCATTTCACTTATTCCGTTCTACTTCATTTGTTTCCATCCCACTGCACTCCGTTCTGTTCTATTCTGGTCTATTCTAGTCTGTTCTATTCCATTACACACCACTCTACTTCATTTTGTCTTATTCTATCCTACCCCATTCTACTCCACTCTATTTCATTTTGCTTATTCTATTCCATTTCATTCTATACTATTTCATTTCATTTTACTCCACTCCACTCCATTCTATTCTATTCCCCTCCCTTCCATTATACTTCACTCCCTTCATTTCACTCCATCCCATTTTATTCTATTCTTTCTATTCTCTTCCATTCTTTTTCATTTTACTTCACTATTCCACACCACTCCATTCCATTGTATTATATTCTATTCAGTTATATTCTGTTTCACTACAATCCATCCCATTTTTTCCAATTTATTCTATTTTATTCAATTTCATTCTTTTTATTTGTTTGTTTTTTGTTTTTTTGAGATGGAGTCTCAATCTTTGCCAGGCTGGAGTGCAGTGGCGCGATCTCGGCTCACTGAAACCTCTGCCTCCCGGGTTCAAGCGATTCTCCTGCCTCAGCCTCCCGAGTAGCTGGGATTATAGGCACGTGCCACCACGCCTGGCTAATTTTTGTATTTTTGGTAGAGACGGGGTTTCACCATGTTGGTCAGGCTGGTCTCGAACTGCTGACCTCATGATCCGCCCACCTCGGCCTCCCAAAGTGCTGGGATTACAGGCGTGAACCACTGTTCCTGGCCAATTTCATTCTTTTCAATTCCCTTCCACTGCATTCTGTTATATTCTATGCCATTCTACTCCTCTCTATTCTACTCCACTCCTTTGCATTCTAGTTTATTATGTTCAATTATATTCTGTTTTATACCACTCCATTTTATTTCAATTTATTCTAGTCTAGTCTATTTCATTTTACTCCATTCCATTCTGTTCTATTCTACTCTATTACATTCCATTCCACTCCACTCCATTCTTATTCCATTCCATTCTATTTCATTATGCTCCATTGTATTCCACTCTACTCAACATCATTCTGTTCAATTCAATTGTCTTTCACTATACTTCACTTGCCTTCATTCCATTCCGTTCTGTCTATTCCATTCCACTCCATTCCATCCTATTCAATTCTATTTCATTCTATCTTACTCTATTCCATTACACTCTAATTGATTCTAATATATTCCATTCCACTTCATTCTAATCTATTCCATTTCTTTCCACTGTATTCCATTCCATTCATTTCCACTCCACTCCCTCGACTTCACTGCACTCCATTCCTTCCCACTCTATTCTACTCCACTCCACCACATTCCACTTCACTCCATTCCATTATATTTCAGTCTAGTCAACTCTATTCTGCTTTATTTCACTCCTGTCCTACTCCATTCCATCCCACTCCATTCTGTTCCATTTCACTCCACTCCTATTCTATTTCATTCAACTCTGTTCTATTCCACTTCACACCATTCTGTTCAATTCAATTTAACCCAATTCTATTCTTTCTATTCTATTCCATTACATTCTCTCTACTTGTCTCCTATTCTATTCCACTCGCTTTTTTTTTTTTTTTTGAGATGGAGTCTCACTCTGTCACCTAGGCTGGAATCCAGTGGCATGATCTCAGCTCACTGCAACCTCTGCCCCCCAGGCTCAAGGGATTCTCTTGCCTCAGCTTCCTGAATAGCTGGGGTTACAGGCACATGCCACCGCGCCCGGCTAATTTTTGTATTTTTAGTAGAGATGGGGTTTCACCATGTTGGCCAGGGTGGTCTCGAAGTCCTGGCCTCAAGTGATCCACCCGCCTCAGTCTCCCATATAGAATGGAAATAGCTCCATAATGGACATCCTACATCAGAGGCCACCACGTCCCTGCAGAACAGTAGGATTTAGCTAGCTATGGTCCTATAGGGGAGAGCCATTAGCTAGTCTACATAACCAACAATATGCAGCCTATGGCATTCACAGGAAACATGGCAATTCCTATTGCAGTGACCTCTCCTATTTAGAGACTTTCTCACATGAAGTCTGCGTAGTCACAAGGCATATTTACGCTAGACCCAACACTTTTTCAGTCATGATTCATCCTTGCCCTGATTCTATGTAAATCAAAGATGTTTAAACCTCCCTATATCCTGAGTTGGCAATAATTAACCAGGTTACCACACTAGTTCAACATACTGACAAGAAAACATAAAGGAGGCATATAATTACTTGGCCTACACACCTTACGATGTGGGGACCATCTTCTGTTCTCCTCTGAGGACTTCCACTAGCTGAAGAAACCATGAGACATCTGAGAGCAACCCCCTCCTTTCCATTGCAACAGTGCTAAAAGCACTCCAGGCCTTCATGCCTGCTGAGCCCTTCTCAGTGTGATCCTCATAAGCTTGCCTGCCAACTGCACAGCTCCCTTGGAGGAGTCCTCTTCCATGTCACTATTATTAGATGACTGTTATGAGCTGCTTTTCTCCATGTCAATCATCCACATTTTTGCCTATGGGAGGAAATTTAGCCTATACCCCTAAGGACTGATGGATATATTCAGCTAAATAAGACTTCCTAGACACTAAAAATTTTCAAAGGCATGATTATTAATCTCAAATGAATAAGTATAAACTAAACAAAAATAAAATTATTTTTATGTAGCACAAAATACTTCTAAAATAGAGTAAATATTAGTCATAAAGAAATCCTTAATTGTTTAAAAATATCAATATTATAAAATTGGTTTTTTGAGAAAAAAAGGAAAACTTGCAAACTTAAAAAAAATTTTACCTTTTATTGATATGTAATAGATGTGTGTATTTTTGGGGTAGATGTCATAATTGGATACATTTATATAATCAAATTCCAAATATGTTTTATGAAGTAAATAGAACGTTGGTACCAAATACTAACAAAGATGGTATCAAAAGAAAAAAAACAGCAGATCATTCATATTTATTAACATCAATGAAAAAACCTTCTATAAAATGTTATAAATGTAAACCATTAGCTTATTAAAAATAATAGACTTTCCAGTGAAAGAGATTAACCAATCTAGAAAAAGGAAAATAGATCCACTTGAAAAACGAATAAATGTATGGTGATATCTAAAGCAATGGGGGAAGACATATTAAGACAAGTCATGTGGGAATAACTAGATAGTAATATGGATAAGAATAAAGCTTAAATCATATTATAAACCATAAAAGTAAATGCATGCAAATAGCAAAGTTTCCATATATTCCATTCTAATTAAAAAAAAAAATGCCAGAATAAAATGCATAGATGAATCATTGTATAAATGGGAGCATGGAAAACTTTCTCACTATGTCTCAAATCCTGAAACAATGAAGGAAAATATTAATATATTTGACTACATAGAGTTTTTAAACTAATCTGCTTAGTAATATTAAGCATAAGTCACATTTAAGTGTAGTAAAACTATAAGTAAACATAAGTAAAAATTAAGCATGAAGCAAAATTAAGGGAAGGGCAGAGCAAGACGGCAGAACAGGCTTCACTAATCATTCTCCTGCGAGGACACCAATTTAACATCTACAAAAAAAACCACCTTTATAAGAACTAAAAATCAACTGTGAACTCACAGTACCTGGTTTTAACTTCATATTGCTGAAAGAGGCATTGAAGAGGTAGGAAAAACAGTCTTGAATCACAAACACCATCCCTCCCCCATTCCCAAGCAGCTGTGGCATGGTGCGGAGAGTGATTCTGTGCACTGGAGAGAGGCAAAGTGCAACAACTGTGAGGCATTGAACTCAGTGCTGCCCTGTTAGAGCAGAAAACAAAATGGAACAAAACTCAGCTGATGCCCATCAATGGAAGGAGCATATAAACAAGCTCTAGCCAGAGGGAAATCGCCAATCCCAGCAGTCAGAACCTGCAAGCCTCACTGCCACAGGCTAAAGTGCTCCAGGGCCCTAAATAAACTTGAAAGGCATTCTAGGCTACAAGGGCTGCAACTCCTAGGCAAGTTCCTGTGCTGAACTGGGCTCATAGCCAGTGGGCTGTGGGGGCACATGACCCACTGAGACACCAGCTGGAGCAATTAAGGGAGTGCTGGCATTACTCCTCCCTACACCCAGGCTGCAGAGTTTGTAGTTCTAAAAGTGATTAAGGGAGTGCTGGCATTACCCCTTCCCCACACCCAGGCTGCAGAGTTTGTAGTTCTAAAAGAGAACACTTACTTCCACTTGAGGAGAGGAAAGGGAAGAGTGGTAGGACTTTGTCTTTACCTTGGATACCAACCCAACCACGGCAGAATAGGGTACCAGTCAGAGTTGTGAGGCCCCTTTTCCAAGCCCTGGCTCCTGGACATTTCTAGACACACGTGGGTTCAGAAGGGAACCCAGTACCTTGAAAGGAAGAACACAGGCCTGCCAGGAATCATCACCCACTAACTGAAGAGCCCTTGGGCCCTGAATAAGGAGCATGATACCCAGGCAGTAAGTCATGGTGAGACTCTGAGATGTTCTGGTTTTAGGTGAGACTCGGCACATTACCATCTGTGCGGCTATGGGGCAAGACTCCTTCTGCTTGAGAAAAGCAGAGGGAAAAGTAAAGGGGACTTTATTTTGCACCTTAGGTACCAGCTTGGCAACAGGGGAGTAGAGCACCAAGCAGGCTCTTGGGGTCCTCAATTCAAGGACTTGGGTTTTTTATGGTGATATGGCTTGGATCTGTGTCCTCACCCAAATCTCATGTTCAGTTGTAATTCCTAAAGTTGGAGGTGGGGCCTGGTGAGAGGTGACTAGATCATGGGGGTGGTTTCTCATGAATAATTTAACACTATCCCCCCTTGGTACTGTCATCACAATAGTGAGTGAGTTCTCATGAGATCTGGTTATTTAAAAGCATGTAGCCCCTCCCCCATCTTTCTCTTGCTGCTGTGGCCATGTGACATGCCTGCTCCCCCTTCATCTTCCACCATGACTGTAAGTTTCCAGAGGCCTCCCCAGAAGCTAAGCAGTTGCCAGCATCATGCTTCCTGTACAGCCTGTGGAATCCTGAGCCAATTGAGCCTCTTTTTACTATACATTAACCAGTTTCAGATGTTTGTTTATGGCAATGCAAGAACAGCCTAATACAGAAAATTGGTACTGAGGAGTGGGGCATTGCTATAAAGATACCTGAAAATATGAAGTGACTTTGAAACTGGGTAACAGGCAGAAGTTGGAAGAGTTTGTAGGGTTCAGAAGAAGACAGGAAGATGATGGAAAGTTTGGAATATCCTACAGATTGGTTAAATGGTTGTGTCCAAAATGCTGATAGTGATAGGGACATGAAAGTCCAGGCTGTCAGATGGAAATGAGGAGCTTATTAAGAAATGGAGCAAAGGTCACTTTTGTTATGCCTTAGCAAAGAACTTGGCTGCTTTGTGTATCTGCCCTAGAAATTTGTGGAGCTTTGAACTTGAGAATGATGATTTAGTGTATCTGGTGGTAGACATTTCTGAACAACAAAACATTCAAGAAGTAGAGTGGTTGCTTCCAAAAGCTTATGCTTATATGCATGAGCAAAGAAATGATCTAAAGTTGGAACTTATATTTAAAGGGGATGCAGAGCATAACAGTTTGGAAAATTTGCAGCATGGCCATGTGGTAGAAAAGAAAAGCCCAAAAACTGGCTAGCCATATGCAGAAAACTGAAACTGGACCCCTTCTTTACACCTTATATAAAAATTAACTCAAGATGGATTAAAGACTTAAATGTAAAACCCAAAACCAGAAAAACCCTAGAAGAAAACCTAGGCAATACCATTCAGGACATAGGCATGGGCAAAGACTTCATGACTAAAACACCAAAAACAGTTGCAACAAAAGCCAAAATTTACAAATGGGATCTAATTAAACAGCTTCTGCACAGCAAAAGAAACTAGCATCAGAGTAAACAGGCAACCTATAGAATGGGAGAAAATTTTTGCAATCTACCCACCTGACAAAGGGTTAATATCCAGAATTTACAAGGAACTTAAATCTACAAGAAAAAAACAAACAACCCCATCAAAAAGTGGGCAAAACATATGAACAGACACTTTTCAAAAGAAGAAATTTATGTGGCCAAAAAACAAGAAAAGGTCAACATCACTGATCATCAGAGAAATGCAAATCAAAACCATAATGAGATACCATCTCATATTAGAAAGGCGATTTTTAAAAAGTCAGGAAACAACAGATGTTGTAGAGGATGTGGAGAAATAGGAACGCTTTTACATTGTTGGGACTGTAAATTAGTTCAACCATTGTGAAAAACAGTATGGTGATTCCTCAAGGATGTAGAACCAGAAATACCATTTGACCCAGCAATCCCATTACTGGGTATATACCCAAAGGAATATAAATCACTGTACTATAAAGACACATGCACATGTATGTTTATTACAGCACTATTTACAATAGCAAAGACATGGATCAAACCCAAATGCCCATCAAGGATAGACTGGATAAAGAAAATGTGGTACATATGCACCATAGAATACTATGCTGCCATGAAAAGGAATGAGATAATATCCTTTGCAGAGACATGGATGAAGCTGGAAGCCATCATCCCCAGCAAACTGACACACAGGAAGAGAAAACCAAACACTGCATGTTCTCACTCATAAGTGGGAGTTGAACAATGAGAACACATGGACACAAAGAGGGGAACAACACACACCAGGGCCTGCTGGGGTCTGTGGGGTGAGGGGAGGGAACTTAGAAGATGGGTCAATAGGTGTAGCAAACCACCATGGCACACGTATACCTATGTAACAAACCTGCACATTCTGCACGTGTATTCCTTTTTTTTTTTTTTTTAAAGAAGAAATAAGAAAAGTCCATTTTCAGGGGAGGAATTCAAGCATGCTGTAGAAATTTGCATAAGTAGAAATGAGTCAAGTGCTGATAGCTAAGACAATAGGGAAAAGGCCTCAAAGGCATTTCAGAGACCTTGGCAAGAGCCCCTCCCATCACAGGCCCAAAGGCTTAGGAGGGAAAAATGGTTTTATGTAACATGACCAGGGCTCACCCTGCACAGCCTTGGGACACAACTCCCTGCATCCCACCCATTCCAGTTCCAGCCTTGGCTCAAAAAGGCCCAGGCACAGTTCAGGCCACTGCTTCAGAGGGTGCAAGCTGTAAGCCTGGTGGCTTCCACGTGGTGTCAAGCCTGTGGGTGCACAGAGTACAAGAGTTGAGGCCTGGGAGCCTCCACCTGGATTTCAGAGGATATGTGGGAAAGCCTGGGTATTCAGGTGGAAGCCTGCTGCAGAGGCAGATCCCACATGGGGAACCTCTACTAGGGCAGTGTGGAGGGGAAATGTGTAGCCCCCACACAGAGTCCCCTCTGGGTCACTGCCTAGTGGAGCTGTAAGAAGGGAGCCACCACCCTCTAGACCCTGGAATGGTAGATCCACTGGCAGCTTACTCCCTGTGTCTGGAAATGGTGCAGGCAATCAACACCAGTTTGTGAGATCAGCCACTGGGGGCAAACCCTGCAAAGTCACAGGGGTGGAGCTGCCCAGGGTCTTGGGAGCCCATCCCTTGCACCAGTGTGCTACGGATTTGAGACATAAAGTCAAAAGAAATTATTTTGGAGCTTTAAGATTTATGACTGCCCTGCTGGGTTTCAAACTTGCATGGGGCTAGGAGCCCCTTTCTTTTGGCCAATGTCTCCCTTTTGGAACAGGAGTATTTACCCAATGCCTATGCCCCCATTGTATCTTGGGAGTAACTAACTTGTTTTTTATTTTACAAGTTCATAGGTGGAAGAGACTTGCTTTGTCATAGATGAGAATTTGGACTTTGGACTTTTGAGTTAATTCTGGGATGAGTTTAGACTTTGGGGCACTGTTGGGAAGGCATGATTATGTTTTGCAATGTAAGAATAAATTAACACAGATGGCATTTCTGGATGTGCCCTGGACCACAGGGGAGCCTGCTGCCCTGAAGGGTGAGTCTAGGTCAGGCAAAATTTGCCACAAGCTGGATGGAGAGCCCTTGGGCCTTCAGGGGACATCAGCAGCAGTGTTGTAATACTGCCCATGGGCCTGTGCTGGTGGCCATGGGGTGAGGGTCCTCTGCCTTTGGAAAAGGGAGGAAGAATGGGAACTACATCTTGTGGCTGGAGCGCTAGTTCAGCTGCAGAACAGTATTACACTAGGTAGTCTTCTAAGGTTTTTGACATTAGTCCTTGCCTCCCAGATAGCACCTCTGGACATGTCCCTGGCCTGGGGGAGCTCACCACGCTGAAGGAACAAACATAGGCTTGGCTGACTTTGCCACATGCTGATTGTGGAGCCCCAGAGCTTTGAGCAAACAAAGGCTGTAGCAAGAAAGGGGTTACAGGAGGCCTTGGGTGAGACCCAGTTCTGTGCTTGTTTTGGGACTGACCCAGCACAGCTCTAGAAGCGGTGGCCATAGGAGTACTTGTGTCACCCCACTGCCAGCTCCAGGTGGCTCAAAACAGAAAGAAAGAGAGACTGTTTAGAAGAAAGTAAGAAGAGAAAACAAGACTCTTTGCCTTGTAAATCAGAGAATTCTTCCAGATCTTGTGGAAGACCATCAAGGCAGTACTTCCATGAGTCTGCAAGAACCACAGCATTAGTGGGCTTAGGGTGCCCCCTAAAGCAGATACAACTTAGATCATAACACCCAAGTCCTTTTGAATATCTGAAAAGCCTTCCCAAGAAGAATGGGAACAAACAAGCCCAGACTATAAAGACTACAATAAATACCTAATTATTCAATGCCTGGGCACAGACAGACATTTACAAGTATCAAGATCATCCAGGAAAACATGACCTCACCAAATGAATTAAATAAGGCAACAGAGATCAATCCTGGAGAAACAGAGATATGTGGCCTTTCAGACAGAGAATTCAAAATTCAGACAGAGAATTTGAAGAGTATTTTTGCCAGATATACTACTCTAGGATAAAAGGTTTTTTTTTTTTTTCCTTCTTCAGCATGTTAAATATATCATGCCATTCTCTTCTGGCTTATAAGGTTTCCACTAAAAAGTCTGCTGCCAGACATATTGAAGCTCTATTGTGTGTTGTTTCTTTTCTCTCGCTTCTTTTAGGATCCTTTCTTTATTGTTGACTTTTGGGAGTTTGATTATTAAATGCCTTGAGGTAGTCTTCTTTGGGTTAAATCTGCTTGATGTTCTAATGTGTAACCTTCTTTAGTTGGATATTGGTATGTTTCTCTAGGTTTGGGGAGTTCTGTGTTGTTTTTCTGTATGATCTTTCTACCTCTATCTTTCTCTACCTCTTTATAGCCAACAATTCTCAGATTTGCCCTTTTGAGGCTATTTTCTAGATCTTATAGATGTGTCTCATTCTTTTTTATTCTTTTCCTTTTGCTTGTTTCTTTGTGCAAACAGTGCTGTTATCGGCTGAAAATAATGAGTTATAAGATAGTATTTGCAAGCCTTATGGTAACCTCACACCAAAAAACATACAACGAACACACCAAAAATAAAAAGCAAGAAACTAAATTTTATCACCAGAGAAAACCACCATAACTAAAAGGAAGACAGAAAGAAAAAGAAAGAAGGAAGAGAAGAAGAGAAGCCCACAAATCAACCAGAAAACAAATAACAAAATAGCAGGAGTAAGTCCTTACTTAACAATAATAACATCAAATTTAAATGGACTAGACCTTCTAATTCAAAGACATAGACTGACTCTGAATGGACACAAAAACAAGACCCAACGATCTGTTGCCTACAACCTGTAAAGACACACGTAAACTAAAAATAAAGGGATGAAAAAGATATTCCTTGCCAATGAAGACCAAAAACAGCAAGAGTAGCCATATTTATATCAGCCAAAAGAGATTTCTAAAGAAAAACTATACAAAGAGAAAGAAAGCCACTATATAATGATAAAGGGGTCAATTCAGCAAGAGAATATAACAATGTTAAATATATATACACCTAATACTTGAGGACCCAGATACATAAAGCAAATATTATTAGAATTAAAGAGAGAGATAGACCCCAATACAATAATGACTAGAGACTTTAACATCCCACTTTCAGCATTGAATAGATCTTCCAGATAGAAAATCAACAAAGAAACATAAAACTTAGGCTTGACATGGTGGCTTACACCTGTAATCCCTGCACGTAGGAAGGCCAAGGCAGGAGGATCATTTGAGCCCAGGAACTTGAGACCAGCCTGGGCAACACAGTGAGACCCTATCTCTATAAATTTAAAATACATATATATATGTGTGTGTGTGTATATATATGTATATATATGTGTGTGTATATATATGTATATATGTGTGTGTATATATATGTATATATGTGTGTGTATATATATGTGTGTGTGTGTATATATATATATATATATAAAAGAAACATTGAACTTAATCTACAATATAGACCAAATGGACCTAATAGGTATTTACAGAACGTTTCATCCAACAGCTGCAGAATTCACACTCTTTTCCTCACAATATTAATTATTCTCAAGGATAGACTGTATGTTATATCACAAAACAAGTCTTAAAATATTCAAAAAATTGAAGTAATATCAATCATTTTCTGTGACCACAGTGGAATAAAACTAGAAATCAATAGCAAGAAGGACTGGGCATGGTGGCTCACGCCTGTATTCCCAGCACTTTGGGAGGCCGAAGCAGGCAGATCACTTGAGGTCAGGAGTTTGTGACCAGCCTGGCCTGTTCTGGAAACCATCCCCACACCACCCAGTGGGCACCCCAATTCCGGCAGACACAAAGGAGTTAGAAAGAGACAGAATAAGCATTTAAAAGGCGGGTCCAGGGAGCCGGAGCATCGGAGGTTTGCTCAGGGCCCAGAGCTCTCAGGCTCTGCCCAATTTATTGGTTTACAAGCTCTTTACTCTTAGGGCAGATGGGAGGGAGAGAAAGGGATGAGGAAAAGGATTAATCAGTGAAGGAGAATTCATGAGTCATTCGATAAGATGTATAGCAGTGGCAGTTTCTGTGAATTTTCCTTGAGCAAAGGCATGTGTCTAAACTACTTAAGATCTTAAACTTATTGGGACTGAAATGGGTGGGAGTGGGGTTCAGGAGAAGCCCAGATGTTTGATTATACTCCACTGCTTCAAGGGAGTGTTATCTCCCTGAGCAACCTGTGGAATGCCGCTGAGCTGTTATGCTCTCAGGGTATAAAGACATGAAGGCAATAAGGAGACTTTTCTGCTCAGAGGCCACCCATGGCTTCCCATGGGTGTCTCATACAGGGGAGACCAACTCAAGTGGCACCCTAGAAACTCTTTCCCACACTGGCCAACAGGGTGAAACCCTGTCTCTACTAAAAATACAAAAATTAGCCGGGCATGGTGGCACAAGCCTGTAATCCCAGCCACTGGGAGGCTGAGGCAGGAGAATTGCTTGAACCCAGGAGGCAGATGTTGCAGTGAGCCAAGCTCATACTACTGGACTCCAGCCTGGGCAACAGAGCAAGACTCTGTCTCTAAATAAATACATAAAATAAGAGGAATTTTGGAAACTATTTGAAAACATGGAAATTAAATATATGCTCCTTAATGACCAGTGGGTCAATGAAGAAATAAAGAAGGAAACTGAAAAATTTGCTGAAACAAATTATAATGGAAATAGAAGACACGAAAACCTATGGGACACATTAAAGACAGCACTAATAGTAATAAGTGCTTACATCAGAAAAAAAGAAAAACTTCAAATAATCTAGTTAAAGAACTAGAAAAGCAAGTACAAACCAAACACAAAATTAGTAGAAGAAAAGAAATAATAATGATCAGAGCAGAAATAAATGAAATTGAAATGAAAAAACCAATACAGAAGATCAATAAACAAAAAGTTGGTTTTTCGAAAAGTTAGACAAAATTAACATACCTGCAACCAGACTAAGGAATAAAGAAGGAAGACTCAAATAAATAAAATTAGACATAAAAAAGGAAGACATTACACCTTATACTGCAGAAATTCGAAAATTCAAAGGATTATTAGTAACCATTATGAGCAACTATACACCAATAAATTGGAAAATCTAGAAGAAATGGATTCCTTGACACAACCTACCAAATTGAACCATGAAGAAATCCAAAACCTGTGCAGACCAAAAACAAATAATGACTTCCAGTGAAGAAAAGCCTGATACCCAATAATGAAGAAAAGCCTGGTACCCAAATAATGACTTCCAGTGAAGAAAAGCCTAGTACCCAATGGCATCACTGCTGAATTCTACCAAACATTTAAAAAGAACGAATACCGATCATACTCAAACTATTCTGAAAAGTAGAGGAGAATGGAATGCTTTAAAATTCATTCTAAAGGCCAGTATTACCCTGAAACCAAAATCAAAGACATATTTAAAAAACTGCAGGCCAATGTCTCTGATTAATATTGATGCAAAAATTCTCAATGAAATACTAACACACTGAATTCAACAGTACATTAAAAAGATCATTCATCATGGCCAAGTGGGATTTATCCCTGAGATGTAAGGGTGGTTCAACGTATGCAACTCACTCAATATAATACATCATATCAACAGAATGAAGGACAAAAATGATATCATTGCAATTAATGCTGAAAAAGCATATGATAAAATTCAACAGCCCTTGATGAAAAAAAAACTAAAAAAACTGGGTAAGGAAGGAACATACCCCAACGTAATAAAAGGCATATGTGACAGACTTACAGCTAGTATCATACTGAATGGGAAAAAAACTGAAAGCTTTTCCTCTAAGATCTAGAAGATGAGAAGAATGCCCATTTTCATCACTGTTATTCAACGTAATACTGGGAGTCCTAGCTAGAGCAATCAGACAAGAGAAAGAAATAAAGGGCATTCAAATTGGAAGGAAAAAAATCAAATTAGTGTTGTTTGCAGACAATATGATCTCATATTTAGAAAAACCTAAAGACTCCATCAAAAGCTGTTAGAACTGATAAATTAAGTAAAGTTGCAGAATACAAAACCACACACAAAAATCAGTAGCATTTCTATATGACAACAGTGAACACTCTGAAAGAGAAATTAAGAAAGTCATCCCATTTATAGTAGCCACACATAAAATTAAACACCTTGGAATTAACCAAAAAGGTAAAATTCTTTACAATAAAAACTATAAAACACTGATGAAAGAAATTGAAGTGGACACCATAAAAATGGAAAAATAGTCCATGTTCATGGATTAGAAGAATTAATGTTGTTAAAATGTCCATGCGACCCAAAGCAATCTACAGATTCAATACAATCTCTATCAAAAAACCAATGACATTCTTCAGAGAAATAGATAAATCAATCATAAAACTTACATAGAACAATTAAAGACCCAGGATAGCCAAAGTTATCCTAAAAAAAAAGAACAAAACTGGAGGGATCACATTAACTGACTTCAAATTATACTAAAGAGCTGTAATAACCAGAACAGCATGGTACTGGCATAAAAACAGACACATAGACCAGTGGAACAGAATAGAGAACTCAGAAATGAATCCACACACCTGCAGTGAACTCATTTTTAACAAAGGTGCCAGGAACATACACTGGAGAAAAGAGTCTCTTCAATCAATGGTCCTGGGAAAAACTGCATATTCATATGCAGAAGAATTAAACTAGAGCCTATCTCTTGCCATGTAAAAATCAAATCAAAATGGATTGAAGACTTAAATCTAAGACCTTAAACTAAGAAACTGCTATAAGAAAACATTGGGGAACTTGCAGGACATTGGTCTGGGCAAAAATACTTTTGAGTAATATCCACAAACACAGGCAACCAAAACAAAAATGGACAAGTTGTATCACATCAAGTTAAAAGGCGTCTGCACAGTAATGAAAACAATCAACAAAGTGAATAGACGAATCACAGGATGGGAGAAAATATTTGCAACCTACCCATAAGACAAGGGGTTAATAACCAGCATATATAAGGAACTCAAATAACTCTAAAGGGAAAAATGCAAAATCTGATTTAAAAAATGGGCAAAGTATTTGAATAGCCATGTGTATTAGTCTGTTCTCACATTGCTATAACAAAATACCTGAGACTGGGTAATTTATAAAGAAAAGAGGTTTAATTGGCTCATGGTTCTGCATGATATATAGAAAGCCTAGTGGCTTCTGCTTCTGGAGAGGCCTCAGGAAACTTATAATCATGGCAGAAGGCACAAAGGGGAAGCAGGCACATCTTACACGGCTGGAGCAGGAGCAACAGAGATGGGGGAGGTGCTACACACTTTTAAACAACCAGATTAATGATAACTCACTCACTATCATGAGAATAGCACCGAGTTGATGGTGCAAACCTATTAATGAGAACTCTGCCCCCATGATCCCATCAACTCCTGCCAAGCCCCACCTCCAACATTGGGGATTACAATTCCACATGAAATTTGGGTGGGGACACAGATCCAAACCATATCACCATTTCTTAAAGGAAGACAGACAAATGGCCAACAGGTATATAAAAACGTGGTCAACATCATTGATCATTAGAGAAATGCAAATCAAAACTACAATGAGATATTTTTTCACCCCTGTTAAAATTATATATATATTTTGAGACAGAGTCTTGCTCTGTTGCCCAGGCTGGAGTGCAGTGGCATGATCTTAGCTCACTGCAACCTCTGCCTCCCAGGTTCAAGCGATTCTCCTGCCTCAGCCTCCTGAGTAGCTGGGACTAAAGGTGCCCGCCACCACGGCTGGCCAATTTTTGTATTTTTAGTGGAGAGAGTGTTTCACCATATTGGTCAGGCTGGTCTCGAACTCCTGACCTTGTGATCCGCCCACCTCGGCCTCCTAAAGTGCTGGGATTACAGGTGTGAGCCACTGCACCTAGCCAAAATTGCTTATATTTAAAACACAGGCTATAACAAATGCTGATGAGGTTGTGGAAAAAAGAGAACCCCTCATACACTGTTGGTGAGAATGTAAATTATTAGTACAACCACTATGGACAGCAGTTTGGATGTTCCTCAGAAAACTAAAAGTGGAGCTATTCTATGATCCAGAAATCCCACTGCTGTGTATATATTGAAAAGAAAGGAAATCAGTATATCAAAGAGGTATCTGCACTTCTAGCTACTATGGAGGCTAAGGCAGGAGAATTGCTTGAGCCCAGGAGTTCAAGGCTGCAGTGAGCTATGATCACACCACTGTACCCCAGCCTGGGTGACAGCGTGAGACCTCATCTCTAAAAAAAAAAAACAGAAAGAAAGTAAGTAAAAATTTATCTTTTAGTATCTAACACAGTAACATGACAAACAGCAAACAAAGTGAGAAAGATGCATTACAACACAAAAAGGTGACAATACACAATACTTAGAAATATCCATACCCAATTATCCCCCAGCATTTTTCAGACAGCTGAAAGTCCAGTTATTAAATGTATATTTACAATATTTAAATCTATATAAATAATGCAACTAAACGCATTACTACCTCAACTCAACAATGAGGACTATAAATGAATAAAAACATAGGTGTTAATTTAAAAATAAGAAATCAATGAGTTAGACACAGAAAAAATCAGAAATCATTAAAAATTCCAAACGTTTTTTGTAGAAAAAGATGTATAACTACAAAATAAACTAGTCAAAAAAAAACAGAGAAAAAATTTTTTACACAGAAATGATGTGGGGAGAAAATAAGTATCAAATAGGCAATGTTTAAAAATGTTAAGAGTTTCCTGAAATTTTAAACACCACTATAAGAAAACATGGGGAAAAGGCCCATAACACTAGACTTGGTAATTTTTTTTTGTATAACCCCAAAAGCACGACAACAAAGGCAAAAATAGACAAATGAGATTGCATCAAACTAAAAAGCTTCTGTACAGCAAATGAAACCATTAACAAAGTGAAGACATAATCCACAGAGTGATAGAAAATATTTATGAACCATACATCAGATAGGTGGCTAATATCCAAAATATGTAAGGAATTCAAACAACTTGGTTGGTGCAGTGGCTCACGCCTGTAATCCCAGCACTTTGGGAGGCCAAGGTGGGTGGATCACCTGAAGTCAGGAGTTCAAGACCAGCCTGGACAACATGGTGAAACCCCCTCTCCACTAAAAATACAAAAATTAGTGTGGTGTGGTGGTGCACACCTGTAATCCCAGCTACTTGGGAGGCTGAGGCACAAGAGTCGTTTGAACCTGGGAAGCGGAGGTTGCAGTGAGCCAAGATTGCACCACTGCACTCCAGCCTGGGCAACAGAGTGAGACTCCATCTCAAAAAAAAAAAAAATTCAAACAACTCGACAGCAAGAAAACAAAGAACCCAATTAAAAAAGAAGAAAATTACTTGAACAGATATTTTGCAGAAGACACACAAATGACAAATAGGTTTATTTATTTTTATATTTTATTTTATTTTTATTTTATGTTATTTTTGAGACAGAGTTTTGCTCTTGTTGCCCAGGCTGGAGTGCAATGGAGGATCTCAGCTCACTGCTACCTCTGCCTCCCAGGTTCAAGCAATTCTCCTGCCTCAGCCTCCCGAGTAGCTGGGATTACAGGTGCCCGTCACCATGTCCAGCTAATTTTTAGTATTTTTAGTAAAGATGGGTGGGGTTTCACCATGTTGGCTAGGCTGGCCTTGAGCTCCTGACCTCATGTGATCTGCCCCCCTTGGCCTCCCAAAGTGCTGAGATTACAGACGTGAGTCTCTGCGCCTGGCCAGTATTTGTTTTCTGATTCTGAGTTAATTCATTGAAGATGATGGCCTCCAGCTGCATCTATGTTACTGCAAGGGGCATAATTTTACTCTTTTTTGTTTGCATAGTATTCGATGGTGTACATGTACAATATTTTCTTGATCCAGTCCACCACTGATGGACACTTAGGTTCATTCCATGTCTTTGCTATTGTGCATAGTGTGGTGATGAGCATACAAGTGCATGTGTCTTCTCTATAGAATGGTATATTTTCCTTTGATTGTATACCTAGTAGTGGGATTGCTGGGTTGAATAGTAGTTCTGTTTTAAGTTCTTCGAGAAATTTCCAGACTGCTTTCCACAGTGGCTGAATGAACTTACATTTCTACCAATGGTGTGCAGGCACCCCCTTTTCTCTGCAAACTCTCCAGCAACTGTTATTTTTTGACTTTTTAATAATAGCCCTTCTGACTAGGGTCAGATAGTTTGTGGTTTTAATTTACATTTTGCTGATAAGTAGTGATGAGCATTTTTATGTTTTTGGCTTATCGAATGTCTTATTTTCAGAAGCATTTATGTCCTTTGCCCATTTTTAATGGAGCTGTTTGTTTTTGGTTTATTGATTTGTTCCTTATAGA
The DNA here is from genome assembly GCF_000001405.40 of Homo sapiens. Classification (NCBI taxonomy): domain Eukaryota; kingdom Metazoa; phylum Chordata; class Mammalia; order Primates; family Hominidae; genus Homo; species Homo sapiens. The sequence continues at coordinate 26,363 of NW_025791757.1, read as the reverse complement.
TTCTGGATATTATGGACTAATCCTTATAGATTCTGGAACTTTGCCAGATGCACAGTTGGTAATTGTTTTCTCTGATTCTGTAGATAGTCTGTTTATTCTGTTGATAGTTTCTTTTGCTTTGCAGAAACTCTTTAGTTTATAAATGGTGTATAAATTAATATATATTTAAATGTCTAGCTGAACCTACAAGATAATAGAGGGAATCCCCATGGGAATAAAATAAAGATAATTCTTAAGCTTGGTTGAAATCAAACAGGGACGCCCGGGCTCCTCTGAAGGGATTGGCTGGTACTACCAATGTGAAATGTTGATTTATGTCAATTGTGTAGGTAAAGGGAAAATAACATCAATGTATTTAACCCATTGAATGAAACTGGGACACCTACACAATGCTAATACTTTCAAGGTTTTATACTTTGAGTCAAAAGAGAAGTTGGTAAGCCAGATTACACAATGGAACTATTTCTACCTTGATACTTAAACTCTGAGGGGAATAAAGGACCTGTTGGTTTTGAGTTATATTTATCTGGCATAAATAGTCAAGGAAAACCTAAACCAAGACATTAATTTGAAAATGCCCCAGCTGTAGGGCATGGGGCTTTTGGAAGAAGCAAATACAAATTTTCTTTCTCTTTTTTTTTTTTTTTTTTTTTGAGATAGGGGTCTCTCCATGTTGCCCAGGCTAGTATTAAACTCCTGGGCTCAAGCGATCTTCTCACCTTAGCCTCCTGAGTTTCTAGAATTACAAATGTGTGCCACTGTGTCAAGCTTCCAAATTTTCTTTCCAGTCATCTATCACTGAGACCCTCAGCCTTCTCAAGGAACAAAATGATGTCACTTATGACAATTAAATTACAAAGTAGGCAGCAAACAAGCCAGCAGAATTAATAATTACCAAACCAGAAATTATCAGAATTATACCTTGTGATATGAGATATGAATATCAGATTAAGAGAAAACAAAAATGAATTTAAATTTTTAAAGAGTAAATAGTAGGAGACTAGAAGCATGATGTGGCATATTTGAAAAGTGACTAAATAGAACAACTGCAAACAAAGTTTTTTTTAAAATTGTGTACCCAGAATCAATGAAATGGTTAGATTGCAGTTGATACAGAATTGAAAAAAACTTTTAGTAAAACCAAGCTATTTGGCTGAATAAGTTTCCTAGAATGTGAACTCGAAAACAAAGCAATGTAAAGTATATAAAAGAAGTTACGCGATATAAGGAGTAAAACAAAAAGGTCCAATTAATTAAATTAATGAATTAATGAAGATTAATGAAGAATATTAAATAAGTGTAATATAAAAAATAGAAATATCTGTAGACAGATGCACCAGAGTGTCATAGGAATATCAGCCATAAATCGATAAAAGTTAAAGTTAGCTAGGAGGAGAGGGAACTTTAAGTTACACACACACACGCACACACACACAAACAATATTGTAAATGTCTGTAATTTTCAAAATCAAAAATGGAAGTTGGGACTCAGGGAAATATTTGTTTGAAAGTGTGATGTGAGATTGTCAACATAAAACTGTGTACTTTAACTTTTACAAAAAGGAGAATGAAAGACATTTCAGATCATATGGCAACAGTTCGCCTAAACTGATCTTCAATAAAACAATTTTCAAATAATATAATTCAGGAAAAAAAGAAAATGATTCCAGAAATCTGGCCTGAGATGAGAAAAAAAAGAATAGAACACAAGAAATAAAAAGCCTATGGAAGGCCAGGCGTGGTGGCTCACGCCTATAAGCCCTGCACTTTGGGAGGCCAAGGCGGGTGGATCACCTGAGATCAGGAGTTCGAGACCAGCCTGTCCAACATGATGAAACCTCGTCTCTACTAAAAATACAAAAAATTAGCTGGGCATGGTGGCAGGTGCCTGTAATTCCAGCTACTCCAGAGGCTGAGGCAGGAAAATCGCTTGAACCTGGACCTCCTTGGAGGCTAAGGTGAAAAGATTGCTTGAGCTCAGGAGTTTAATACTAACCTGGGCAACATAGAGAGACCCCTATCTCAAAAAAAAATAAAATTTGTATTTGCTTCTTCCAAAAGCCCCATGCCCTACAGCTGGGGCATTTTCAAATTAATGTCTTTGTTTAGGTTTTCCTTGACTGCTGGGTAAATATAACTCAAAACCAACAGATCCTCCGCTTGAAGGCAGAGGTTGCAGTGAGGCAAAATCATGCCATTGCACTCCAGCCTGGGCAACAAGAGCGAAACTCCATCTCAAAGAAAAAAAAAAAAAGCCTATAGACATATATGATTGATGTATAAAATGTGATCAAATATCTACAAGTGCTTTTCTGCCGTATTATAAAAGTTCCTAAATCAGATGCAACAGAGATTAATAATACCCGTTAAAAATTTACACAGAGACAAAATATCGTGACATTTAAAAACCCTAGGTGATGGCCAATTTCATTTTTAAGTCTTAATTTTCATCACTTCTTTTTAAACATTTATTCTTATTTTCTGACAACTTAGTAAGAAGATCTTAGTCCATTTACTGTTGCTTATAACACAATGCCTGAAACTGGGCAATTTCTAATGAAAAGGAATTTGCTTATTACAGTTATGGAAGGTCCAATATCTCACCAGATGATCAGAGCCTTCTTGCTGGTGGGAATTCTGTAGTGTCCTGAGGCAGCAGACGGCATCATATGGCAAGGAGGCTGAGTGGTCTCTCTTCCTCGTCTTCTAAAGCCACCAGTCCCATTCTCATGACAACCCATTAATTCATGAGTTCATGAATGGATTAACCTCTCATCACTTCTTAGTACTGCCACATTGGCGATTAAATTTCAACATGAGCTTTGGAGGAGACAAATATTTAAACCATAACATTTGCAGAGTCTTGAATATTTGGTTATCAGCATAAATTAGCATCAAAGGACTAATTGCGGCATAGCTATTGGCCACAATAACCTGGAGCCACACTAGCAGAGAATCATTTATCCATGTCACACCTCCTGAAAATGAGAACGTAAAGTCCACCCAGTATGTGAAGACAAAACTCACCAGCAGTAAGATAGCCTGGGAGGCTCTTTTCACTGGTGAGACTCGGGGACAGGCTGGCTGTGTGAAGGCACTGAGATAGCCTCTTATTGTCTGTATAAAATAATCACCATGTAGCCTCTTGAGAGGACCATGAACCCTATAAAGGTGACATCCCTCAAAGTCATTAGTGTGAAAAACAGTCTCCTGTGGGTGTAGCTCATGGGCAAAAAGGAACAGTGCTGTATGACAAACAGAAGACTGGCCCCGTTTCACTGGGGGTAGCCGCAGTGTACAGCAGAAGATTACACCAATGAACATGTTGAGGACCCATGAGAAAAGGAAGAATCCTAAGATGTGACTTGCAGAAGGATGTTTGAGCTTTGCCAAGGAGAAGATGCTGGGGCTGATGATGGCCTGGAGCACACTCAGGAGGCAGGGGGTGCAGATGGAGAGGCCCCTCATCACCTTGTTTAAAAAGACAATGACCTTATACCTAAGATCATCCTGAGTATTCTGTGAACCAAAGAAGTCTAAGGACACCAATATTGCCTGAGTGAAGAGCAGCAGTATGTGGATGAGAGACAGGTGACTAATTATCATGTCAATGGACTTAGACCTGTGACTGAAAACAAAGGTGAAGATGTGGAAAAGAAGAAGGATGGTGTTTGCTGAAATTCCAAAGCTGGCTTGTGGATAAAAGAAGATTTGTATGGTAATAAAACCAGGAAGTTTGATCATCTTAGAAGGAAAATTAAAGCAAAGGATATCTGTGGAGAAAAGCAAGAGATCTAATGAGAATAGCATAATTTCTGCCATGTTCTCAATAATAACCAATTTCAACATCTCTATGATCTGGAATCATTAGTTTCTAAACTACAAATATAGATTAAATCTTTATTTTATTTTATTTTTGAGACAGAGTCTCTCTTTGTCACCCAGGCTGGAGTGCAGTGGTGCAAGCTTGGCTCACTGCAACCTCTGCCTCCTGGGTTCAAGTGATTCTCTGGCCTCGGCCTTCTGAGTAGCTGGGATTACAAGCATGTGCTGCCATACTCAGGTAATTTTGTATTTTTAGTAGAGATGGGGTTTCACCATGTTGGCCAGGCTGGTCTTGAACACCTGACCTCAGGTGATCCACCTGCCTCGGCCTCCCAAAGTGCTGGGATTACAGGCATGAGCCACTGCACCTGGCCTATAGCTTAAATCTGAATCATTTATTTCTCACCATCCAAGATACAACTCAATCATGTAATTCTTTATTCTTATTTTATTTATTTATTATCAGTTATTTTTTTAAGTAGAGATGAGGTCTCACTATGTTACCCAGGCTGGTCTCAAACTCCTGAGCTCAAGTGATCCTCCTGCCTCAGTCTCCCAAAGTGCTAGGATTACAGGGATGAGCACGTCTAAGTAAAATTAAAGTACTTAGCCATTTACCCCTCGTGTGTGTGTACACATGTGCTTGTGTGTGTGTATATTTTTTACATTACTTTATTTATATTTATTAATTAACAAGTTGCACCAATAGAATATTAATGTTATAGTTACAAAATCAATATTATATATAATAAATATTTTGAGGAGTCAAAATCACTATAAATGAATATTGCATTATTATTTTATTTCTACACAATGCATAACTTTGCATATACTTAATTTATAACTCTGTTATCATAGGCCATGTGACAAAATTTGTGTATGAAACATACAACTTCACTAAGATTAAAAAAGGTTATTAGGGGCTGGGTGCAGTTATTAGGGGCTGGGATCACACCTGTAATCCCAGCACTTTGGGAGGCTGAGGTGGGCAGATCACGAAGTCAGGAGATCGAGACCATCCTTGCTAACACGGTGAAACCCTGTCTCTACTAAAAATACAAAAAATTAGCCGGGCGTGGTGGCAGGCGCCTGTAGTCCCAGCTACTCGGGAGGCTGAGGCAGGAGAATGGCATGAACACAGGAGGCGGAGCTTGCAGTGAGCTGAGATCGCGCCACTGCACTCCAGCCTGGGCGACGGAGCAAGACTCCATCTCAAAAAAAAAAAAAAAAGATTATTAGGAAACTTTGGAATTCATGAATGAGAACTAATTTCCAAAACCATGGCGCAGACTATCACTTCTTTGGCAAGTGAATTGGATATACGGTTTAGTTCACAGTTCTATCCTGTTACTAGAATGTTTATAATTCAAGGCATCTATGTCATTGTAGACATGAAGTAGGAGGAAGGAGATGGAAAATAAATTGGAGAAGTTCTACCATGAATAGAATGTAATTCTAATGGGAAACTCACATTTCAAACTTCTCTATTTTCCTGATCACTACAAAAATTATGAGAGCAAGTGTTAGGAAGGATGGGAAGAAAAGGAACAGGTTAGACTGTTGGTAGGAATGTAGATCAGTACAACAATTACAGAAAATAGAATGGAGGTTTAAATGTCCATACATACAAAACTAAAAATAAAATTACTATCTATTTCAGCATTTACCTAAAAGATTTGAAATCCCTCCCATGTTCATTACAGAACTATTCACCATAGTCAAGTTATGAAATCAACCTAAGTGTCTATCAACAGACAAATGGATAAAGAAAATGTGGTGTACATAAAAAATGGAGTACTATTCAGCCTTAAAATACAAGGAAACTCTGTCATTTATAACAATACGGATGAACCTGGAGGACATCGTGCTAAGTGAAATAAGCCAGGCACGAAAGACAAATACTTTATGTTCTCACAAAATGTAGAATCTAGAACAATTAAACTCATAGAAACAGATGGTAGGACCATGGCTATAGAAGCTGGGGTACATGGGGAAAGGAAAGATGACAGTCAAAGGGCACAAAATCTCAGTTAGATTGGGGGAATAAGGTTTTTTTACAATGAGATTTATTGCACACTGTAGTAAATATGGTTAATAATGCATTGTAAAATTCAAAATTACTGAGTAAATTTAACATGCTCTCACCATAAAAATGAAAATATTTGAGGTGATGAACATGTTAATTAGCTTGATTTAATTTTCCACATTGTCTTAATAAATTATAACATCACTTTAGACACTATAAACATATAGAATTTTAAACCGTCAATTTACATTTTTTAAATAAGTAAGACTTCTGTTGTTTAAACAATTTGCAAAGTTTATGCCCTGACTTTGTTTGCGCCCGAGGTTAGTGAAAGGGCATAGAATACATTCCCCTTTTCACATTCAGGGCCTTGGAACTGTCAGCTGAAGGAAAACGAACTATTCAAAATCTACAGTCCAGGTCTCAGGTTCATTCTAAATTCAATCTGTCCTTGTATTAGTTCATTTTGTGTTACTATAAAGGAAAACCTGAAGCTGAGTAATTTATAAAGGAAAGAGGTTTATTTTGGCTCACAGTTATGCAGGCTGTACAAGAAGCATAGTGCCAGCATCTGCTTCTGGTGAGGCCTCAGGAAGCTTCCAATCACGCTGAAAGGGGAAGGGGAGCAGGCATGCCACATGAGTGAGAGAGAAAACAAGTGAGGGAGGAGGTCCCAGACTCTAACAACCAGGTCTCATATGAACTGATTACCATAGGAAGGGCACCAAGCTATTCATGAGGAATCGGCCCCCATGACCAAAACACCTCTCACCAAGCCCCACCTCCAACACTAGGAAGCACATTTCAACATGAGATATTGAGGGGACAGACATCCAAATTATATCCTTAATGTGATCAGACGGCACACATTTTCAGGGAAAGAAGGAGGACTTTTTCCACTTTTAATAAGTATAAGGAGGCTCTGAAATTTTATCCATGCATGGCTTTAAATGTAGATTTTCTCCTATTCAGATTTCCTGAGATTTTATGCTTCACTTCCTGGGAGACAGGAAAGACAAATCTTTGCCATATTGACTTTGTTCTTTTATTCATCTTACTTATGGTCCTACTATAATTTTATTATCCTTTGAAAGCAACTAATTATACAGAATATGATGGACATATCGTAAACCACTCGTTGTCATTTGTGGCAAATTATCTGACTTTTTTGTGAACTGCATTTTTGATGAATGAATTATAATTTGAGACTTTGAAAGAAAGTGCATTATAAATTTACTGATAAAGTGTTTTTAACAAGAGGTAGAAAACATTTGAACTATTTACTCTTATCTATTAATACAATTAACTGAGACTGCTATAAAATATGTTCTCACTCACATCTTGAGACTTTGGATAATTAAAACAGTAAAACTGAAAGAATTTTTAATAAGATACAAAAATGAGGCTTTATATTATCTTCTAATAAAATATGAGTCACATTTCTAAGTGTAAAATCAACTAAATCACCAAGCAAAAGATGACAGTTCCAGATATATGTCAGATATATTAAAAAGGCATTGTCTAATTACAGTGATTAAAAAGATGACAAGATAGTCATCTGTTAAAATGTATTACCCTATGCAATTAAAAAGAACCAAGCACTATTATGTGACAAAATTAAAATAATCCTGCTACTTTTCTTTTTCTACATGATATCTTTAGGACATTTCAAATAAAATAAAAATACCCTAAATTTCAAAGAACTTCAAAATAAAAACTATAAAAGACAAAGAAGTTCACTGTATTATGATAAAAGACCAATTCAGCAAGAGGATGTAACAATTTTAAATACATATGCACCCAACACTGGAGCACCCAGATATATACAGCAAACGTTATTAGACCAAAAGAGAGAGACAGACAATACTACAATAATAGGGATTTCGACACCCCACTTTCATTATTAGACAGATCTTCCATACAGAAATCAACCAAAAAATCAGACTCAATTTGCACTGTAGACCAAGAGGACCTAACACATATTTGCAGAACATTTTATCCATTGGCTGCAGAATACACATTCGTTTGCTCAGCACATGGATCATTCTCAAGGATAGGCCATATGTTAAGTCACAAAACAAGTCTTAAAACATTCAGAAGAGTTGAGATAATGTTAAGCATCTTCTCTGACCACAATGGAATAAAACAAGTAGAATTTTGAAAACTATACAAATACGTGGAAAATGAACAATATGCTCCGGAATGACAGTGGGTCAAAAAAGAAATTGTGAAGAATATTGAAAAATTTCTTGAGACAAATAATAATGGAAACACAACATACCAAAACCTATGGGATACAACAGAAGCAGTGCTAAGAGGGAAGCTTATAGCTGTAAGTGACTGTAAGAAAAGAGAAGGAAAACTTTTAATAAAAAATTTAATGATAGATCTTAAAGAACTAGAAAAGCAGGAACAAACCAAATCCCAAATTAGTGAAAGAGAAAACAAAGATCAGAGCAGAAATAATTAAAATTGAAATAATTAATACAATACAAAAGATGAACAAAAATGTTGTCTTTTGAAAAGTCAAACAAAATGACAGACATTTAGCCAGACAAACTAAGAAAAAAAAAGAGAGACTATATAAATAAATAAAATCAGACATGAAAAAGGAGACATTACAAATAATTTGCAAAATTCAAAGGATCATTAGTGGCTACTATGAGAAACTATATGCCAATAAATTGGAAAATTTAGAGAAATGGACAAATTCATAGACACATACTGCCTACCAAGATTGAATGATGAAGAAATCCAAAACCTGAACAGACCAATAACAAGTAACAAAATCAAAGTCGTTATAAAAAGCCTCCCAGTAAAGAAAAGCCTGGAACCCAATGGCTTCACTGCTGAATTCTACCATTTAAAGAAGAACTAATACCAATCCTACCCAAATCCTATTTCAAACAATAGAGCAGGTGGGAATACTCCCAAACTCATTCTACGAGGCCAGTATTACACTGATAGAAAAACCAAAGACACATCAAAAAAGAAAACTGCAGGCCAATATCTCTGATGATTATTGACGCAAAAACCTTCGACAAAATGCTAGCAAACTGAATACAACAATACATTAGAAAGATAATTCATCATGATCAAGTGGTATTATTCCCTAGGATGCCAGGATGGTCCAATATATGCAAATCAATCAATGTGATACATCATATCAACACAATGAAGGAAAACATAATTATTTCAATTGATACTAGAAAGCATTTGACAAAATTTAACATTCCTTCATAACTTTCAAAAAACTGGGTATAGAAGGAAGAACGTAATAAAAGCCATATGTGACAGACTCACAGCTAATATACCAAATGGAGAATAACTGAAAGCTTTTCCTCTAAGATCTGGAACACAACAAGGATGCCCACTTTCACCACTGTTATTCAATATGGTATTGGAAGCTCTAGCTAGAACAATCAGACAAAAGAAGGAAATAAAGGGCATTCAAATTGGAAAGGAAGAAATCAAATTATCCTTTTTGCAGATGATATAATCTTATGTTTGGCAAAACATAAAGACTTCACTAAAAAGTTATTATAACTGGTAAATGCAGTAAAGTTGCAGAATACAAAATCAGCATACAAAAATCAGTAGCATTTCTATGGCTGGGCACGGTGGCTCATGCCTGTAATCCCAGCACTTTGGGAGGCCGAGGTGGGTGGATCACAAGGTCAGGAGATCGAGACCATCCTGGCTAACACGGTGAAACCCCATCTCTACTAAAAATACAAAAAAATTAGCTGAGCGTGGTGGCGGGTGCCTGCAGTCCCAGCTACTCGGGAGTCTAAGACAGCAGAATGGCGTGAACCCGGGAGGTGGAGCTTGCCATGAGCCGAGATCGCGCCACTGCACTCCATCGTGGGCGACAGAGCAAGGCTCTGTCTCCAAAAAAAATAAAATAAAATAAAAAATGAGTAGCACTTCTTTATGCCAACAGTGAACAATTTGAAAAAGAAATAAAAAATAGGAATCCCATATACAGCAGCCAGAAATAAAGTTAAATACCTGGAATTAACCAAAAAAGTGAAAGATCTGTATAATAAAAACTGTAAAACACTGATGAAAGAAATTGAAGAGGACACCAAAAAATGGAAAGATATTTCATGTTCATGTATTGGAAGAAACAATACTGTTAAAATGTTTATACTACCCAAAGCAATCTACAAATAAAATGCAATCCCTGTCAAAATACCAATGAAATGCTATACAGAAATAGAAAAAACAATCCTGAAACTTATATGAAACCACAAAAGATCCGGAATAGCCAAAAGTATCCTGAACGAGAAGAACAAAACTGGAGGAACCACGTTACCTGACTTCATGTTACACTACAGAGCTGTAATAACCAAAAACAGCGTGGCACTGGCATAAAGGTAGACACATAGACCAATAGAACAGAATAGAGAACTCAGAAATAATTCCACATACCTACAGTAAACTCATTTTCAACAAACATGCCAAGAATACATATACACTGGGGGAAAAGACTGTCTCTTCATTAAATGGTGCTGAGAAAACTGGATATCCATATGCAGAAGAATGGAACTAGACCCCTCTCCTTCACCATATATAAAAATAAAATGAAAATGGACTAAAGACTTAAATCTAAGACATTAAACCGTGAAACAACTACCAGAAAATACTGGAGAAAATCTCCAGGACATTGATCTGGGCAAAAATGTTTTGAGCAATACCCCACTAGCACAGGTAACCAAAGCAAAAATAGACAAATGAGATCACATCAAGTTAAAAAGTTTCTGCACAGCAAATACAATCAACAAAGTTAAGAGACAACCCACAGAATAGGAAAAAATATTTGCAAACCACCTATCTGACAAGGAGTTAGTAACCGTAATCTATAAGGAGCTCAAACAACTCTATACAAAAAAAAACTAATAATTTGATCAAAAGATGGGCAAAAGAGTTGAATAACCATTTCTCAAAAGAAGACATACAAATGGAAAATAAGCATATGAAAAGGTGCTTGGCCGGGCGCGGTGGCTCACGCCTGTAATCCCAGCACTTTGGGAGGCCAAGGTGGGCAGATCACCAGGTCAGGAGATCGAGACCATCGTGGCTAACATGGTGAAACCCCGTCTCTCCTAAAAATACAAAAAATTAGCTGGGCGTGGTGGCGGGCGCCTGTAGTCCCAGCTACTTGGGAGGCTGAGGCAGGAGAATGGCATGAACCCGGGAGGCGGAGCTTGCAGTGAGCCAAGATTGCCCCACTGCACTCCAGCCTGGGTGAGAGAGCAAGACTCTGTCTCAAACAAAAAAAAAAAAAGAAAAAGAAAAGAAAAGGTGCTCAACATCATTGATTATCAGAGAAATGGAAGACAAAACTACAGTAAGATATCATCTCACTCCCATTAAAATGGTATATATCCAAAAGACAGGCAATACAAAATGCTGGCAAGGGCATGAGAAAAGGGAACCCTTGTACACTCCAGTGGGAATATAAATTTGTACAACCATTATGGAGAATGGTTTGAAGGTTCTTCAAAAAAAACTACAAACTGAGCTAACATGTGATCCAGCCGTCCCACTGAAAGGAAGTCAGATATCAAAGGGATATCTTCAGTCCCATGTTTGTTGCAGCCCTTTAACAATAGTCAAGATTTGGAAGCAACCTAAATGTCCATCAACAGATGAATGGATAAAGAAAATGTGGTACATATACACAATGGAGCACTATTCAGCCATCAAAAAGAATAAGATCTTTTTTAAAAAATTTTTTTATTATTATACTTTAAGTTTTAGAGTACGTGTGGACAATGTGCAGGTTAGTTACATATGTATACATGTGCCATGCTGGCATACTGCACCCATTAACTCGTCATTTAGCATTAGGTATATCTCCTAATGCTATCCCTCCCCACTCTGCCCACCCCACAACAGTCCCCAGAGTGTGATGTTCCCCTTCCTGTGTCCATGTGTTCTCATTGTTCAATTCCCGCCTATGAGTGAGAACACGCGGTGTTTGGTTTTTTGTCCTTGCGATAGTTTACTGAGAATGATGATTTCAAAAAGAATAAGAATAAGATCTTGTCCTTTGCAACAACATGGATGGAACTGGAGATCATTATATTAAGTGAAATGATCCAGGCACAGAAAGACAATGTACATTCTCACTTATTTGTGGGATCTAAAAATGAAGACAATTAAACTCATGAAGATAGAGAGTAGAAGGATGGTTATCAGAAGCTGGGAAGGGTAGTGAGGGGTTGGGAGGGAAGTAGGGGTAGATAATGGGTACAAAAAATAGTTAGAAAGAATGAATAAGACCTACTCTTACATGGCACAACAGGGTGACTATCGGCAATAATAATTTAAATGTGCATTTAAAACTAACTAAAATAGTATAATTGGATTATTTGTAACACAAAGGATAAATTTTTGACAGGATGGCTACTCCATTCTCCATGATATGATTATTATGCATTGCATGCCTGTACAAAACATCTTATGTTCCCCATAAATATATACACCTATTATGTACCCACAAAAATTAAAAATGGTAAAAAAATTCATTGATAACTACACTGGGGGCTCCCATGTATGTGATATTTTTTACATCATGGTGATATCAGAATTTCCTTTTTTTCTTTGATTTTGAGAGATTTTTCTTAATACTTCTAGGTGAGCTATTCTTTGGCTTGAGTTTAATTGAATATCACTGAGATTCTTATGCCTAGATGCTCATATCTTTTCCCATATTCAGAAATTTTTAACCATAATTTCTTTTTTTTTTCAAGGAAGGGCCTTGCTTTGTCCCCCAGGCTGGAGTACAGTGGCACAATCATAAGTCACTGCTGCCTTGACCTCCTGGGCTCAAGCAATTCTCCCACCTCAGCCCCCCAAGTAGCTGGGACTACAGGCATGCACCACTATGGCTGGCTAATTTTTAAATTTTTTTATAGATGGCTTTCACTATATTGCCTATGCCAATCTCTAACTTTTGGGCTCAAGCATTCCTCCCACCTCAGTGTCCCAAAGTGCATGAGCCTCTGCATCTGGCCTTAACCATCTTAAAAAATTTTTTTTTAATTTATTTTTTGTAGTGACAAAAATTAAATTTATTAGAATATCTTATTTAAAATTTACATTACTTATAAAATAATATAATATATAGTTATTATTTTAATAAATTTTTAACAATATATATTATAATGATATAAATTTATCAAAATTTTTATTAAAAATATATTTTTGGAGTTGCCCAGGCTGCTCTGGAACTACTGATCTTGGATGGTCCTCATGCCTCAGCATCCCTAAGTGCTTGGATTATAGGCATGAACCACCCTGTCTGGCCCATAATTTTTAAAAGTAAGCTTTTTGTTTATTTCTCTCTTTCTCTTTTCCTTCTGAACTCCTATTATGCAAGTATTAGCTCTCTTGATAGTATACTATAGATCCTGTAGGTTTTCTTCATTCATTTTTATTCTTTTTGCTTTTTGATTCTCTCATTAGATAAATTCAAATGTTCTTTCTTCAAGCTCATGGATTATTTCTTTTGTTTAATCAAGTCTGCTATTGGAGGTTTCTATTGAATTTTTTACTTCTGTCATCTTATTCTTCCTTTCTAGGATTTCTATTTGTTTTATTGTTTCTATTTATTTTTTCAATCTTCTCCTTTTCTTTGTGTCATATTTTCCTAATTCCATTTAGTTTTCTTTTCTCTTTTTTTTAATCACTCAGTGAACTTCTTTAAGGGATTCCATTCTTAGTTCATAGATCTTAATTTTTAAACAATCTATTATTGGACCTTTATTAGTTTCTTTTGGTAGTGTCATATTTTACTGATTCTACATAATCTTTGTGTCCTTGTGTTGGTGTCTGTCATTTTAAAACCATGGCCACATCTCCCAGTCTTCCCATGTGTTCTTTCATGGGACTAGTCCTTTACTGTTTATTCTAACCTGGGTTCTGGATGGCTCAAATGGCAGTGACCATGGACAGGAGGAGGTTGCTGTCACATTCTCTCTTTGGGCTGGGTTGCGGCCTGTGCTCTGAGATCAGCTAAAGCTTCTGGCTGGGCTGTGAGGTCTGGTGAAATCAGTAGCTGGGCTCTTCAGTCAGGAGGAGCTGTGGACTGGGCTCTGCTGTCACCTTTATAAAGGAGGGTCTCAGGCTGTGGCTCCAGGCTGAGTGGTATTACTCTTTGGATCTTGCAGTTGGGCAAGGCTCAGAAATTGGGTGGAATTATTGCTCAGCCACTAGAAATGGGCAAGGAGGTACTCCAGAAATAAGAATGGTCTTGGGCTTGCCTCCTTGCCCAGGGAAATCTTACACTGTATTCGGAGACTGGGTAGCATTATTGATTGGACATTTTTAAGATTGACTGGTATATAGGGTGAGTTTGACATTTGCTTTTCATCTATGTTATTACACACACAATATTAATATTCATACTCTTTTTTAAGTAACACTGAGAGTGGGATAATGAACATTTATATATGGAAAGCATTAGTTCTTTTTTTCGACTAGGCTTTGCTATGATGCACAGGCTGGCCTCAAATTTTTGGGCTCAAGTGATCCACCTGCCTCAGCCTCCCAAGTACCTGGGACTACAGGCATGCACCATGGCACTCAGCTGCATTAATTCTAGTCAATATTTATTTTGATGTCCAAATGTCCCCAGATTGGGCTGGGCACGATGGTTTATGCCTGTAATTCCAGCACTTTGGGAGGCCAAGGTGGGAAGATCACTTGAGACCAGGAGTTTGAGACCAGCCTGAACAACATGGTGAAACCCCATCTCTACAAATAAATAAATAAATACAAAAATCAGCTGGGCGTGGTGGTGCACACCTGTAATCCCAGCTACTTGGGAGACTGAGGCAGGAGAATCACTCAAACCTGGGAGGCGGTGGTTGCAGTGAGCCAAGATGGCACCACTGCACTCCAGCCAGGGCAACAGAGTGAGATTCTGTCTCAAAAAAAACAAACAAACAATAACAAAAATGTCATCCCCAATTTACCCTTGGAAGCCCCTAAATTCTGTCTTGTCTATCTTTTTGATGAAATCTCACTCATCTTGTAGTGCTTTCTTGCTTTTTGACAAAGGCCCATTTTATATATTTCCTACTCAAGACCAAAGAATCATGGTTAGGCTTATATGGAAATAGGTATTTAGAAATCAAAATCTGGCTGTAAGGGAAAGACACATACTGCATAATCTCACCTATATATGAAGGATCTAAAATGGACTCACAGAAGTTGAGAATAGAATGATGGCTGTCAAGGGCTGGATGGAGGAGGAAATGAAGAAGTAATGGTTAAATTGTACAAAGTTATAGTTATGCAAGATAAATAAATTCTCAAGATATATAACTTGGTGTCTATAGTTAACAAAACTGTACTGTATACCTTCAATTTGCTAAGAGGGTAGATCTTATGTTAAATGTTCATAAAAAATAACACAAAACCAACCAAGCAAACAAAAAGAACAGCAATAATAAAGGATGTAGAAGGTAACTTTGGGAAGTGATGTATATGTTTATGGCCATGATGGTGGTTATGGTTTTGTAGCATATACTTACCCTTAAATATGTACAACTTTTGATATGTCAGTCAAATCTTAATAAAATAGTTTTTCAGAAATCTGAATATATGGCCTGCTCATTGCTACTAGTGTCTCCTTGCCTTCACCATTTCAGTAAAGAAAGACAAGTTAAAAGTAGTAAGTTGGCCGGGCCCGGTGGCTCACGCCTGCAATCCCAGCACTTTGGGAGGCCGAGGCGGGCGGATCACCTCAGGTCGGGAGTTGAGACCAGCCTGACCAACATGGAGAAACCCCGTCTCTACTAAAAAAATACAAAATTAGCCGGGCATGGTTGCGCTTGCCTGTGATCCAGCTACTCGGGAAGGCTGAGGCAGGAGAATCACGTGAACCCGGGAGGTGGAGGTTGTGGTGAGCCGAGATGGCGCCACTGCGCTCCAGCCTGGGCGATGAGAGCGAAACTGCATCTCAAGAAAAACCAAACAAATAAACAAAAAAAGTAATTAGTTTATATTCCAATTTTCAGTTCTCAATGTGTTCGAGCTTATCCTACATGACACTGATATACATGCTAGGTCAAGTGGAAGTGGGGATTTAGTTTGGCTTAGTGTGATATAATCACATGAACACCCCAGGTTTACACATTGTGGATTACGACATTAAAAAGTGTTCAACTGAGGAGGTGTCGCTATTTACTTTGCTTTACTTGGTAAGTAAAGTAAGTACCTCTTTTTCCCTTTTGAGACTGCTTCTTACCAAAACAACCAGACATTGCCGTATTTCAAAGGTAATAGGAAAATTGCTCATCCGGGGAGAGGGGGAGAGATGAGGTAATGAGATTCTTTTTATATAACAGCAGCGTGGCTGTCCTCACATGGAAAAACACACTCTCAAAACCCTGCTTGGTAAGTGTTGCTTAGTTTTTCAGTCTGAGAAAGAGCGACAGTGAGGCAGCGGGAAAGAAATGTAGGTCTAGGACAATAATTTCAGTGACTGACTATTTAGGGTCTACCCAGGCACATGCAAGAGGCAGGATTTTCTCTTAAGGTACAGAATAACTTATAATAATGCTCAGAATCTAATAATATCTAATACTTTAGTTAATTTAGATTCAGTAGGCTTTATTTGTTTTTGGTTTTTGTTATTTTAACCCCCTCTGCTTTTGGAAAGAATAGTAGACTTTAGACAAAAGCTCACTTCAGCAATAATTTTTCTAGAAATGATTCTAGATTTTTATTTATTTATATTATTGATATCTTTTTACACTCCTGTTACTTTAAAACCTGAATGTGAGGTAGACTAAAAATGTGAATGTATTCAATTATTTTTGAATACTCAATTTATAGTTTCTTCTGCATAATAAATTTATACCAAATGAATCCCATAATGGTTCTTATGTTTATTTCTCCACAAAATAAAGGTCTATGTCTTCTTTCTCATTTGTTTCTCACTACATTCTTTGAAATATTGGGCACTTTATTCAATTCAAAATGCTCTAAGGATGTTGTGAGAAGAAAACAAAGTGATAGAATTATTTTCCATTTGTGATGTCATAGTGATTAGTATTTTCAAAAATGCATGGGATGGTACGGCATAGTGGCTCACATCTGTAATCCCAGAACTTTGGGAGACCAAAGTGGGAGGATTGCCTGAGCCCAAGAATTCAAGACTAGCTTGGGCAACACAGTGAGACCCCCGTCTCTATAAAAAGCTAAAAAATTAGTTGGGTGTGGTGATGCACACCTGTAGTCCCAGCTACTCAGGAAGCTGAGGTGGGAGGATTGCTGGAACCCAGGTGGTCAAGGCTGCAGTGAGCCATGATCATGCCACTATTCTCCAGCCCAAGCAACAGAGCACAATCCTGTCTCAGAAAAAAAAAAAAAAAAACAAAAACTGCATGAGAAATATAATTTTAACGAGTAACCATATTTTACCTTTTTCATCACTGTAATTAGTGACCAACTTCTTACTGTATCTTTCATATAACTTGAGATATCTTCTCCCTAGTGACTTAATTGATTTCACAGTTAGAAAAGTAATTCATATTTAGCTGGAAAACAATGTGACATCTCAACTCTAAATTTTATTGAAATATTTTTAGTGTTACTTTTAATTACCTAAAGTCACAAGACAATGAGTGATAAACTGTTGGTTTTGCTTTATTTTCTTGATAAATGGATGAGTAAATTAAAATTATTTTTAAAATTTCCTTTTGTTCAAAATATTTTATTGTGATAGAATTATAATGTATCTTCTTCTAAAAACTCAAATTTTTATTTAATCAATAAAATATTCTTTATAAAATAAAGTTAAATGATTTACCACAAATGTCAACCTGGTAGTTTGTGATTAGGTAATTCCATCATACTCTCTGTAATATGCTTTCAGAAAAGAAGAAAACTGGGGCAGGACCAAGAATAAGGTAAATAAAAGGCCAAGTCAAAATTACAGATATTTTTCTTTTATGTCTCCCAAGAATCAAATTTTAAAAAAAAACAGAAAACCTAAGTTGAAGAAAAATCTGCATTTAAGGATTTTACTGAGAAATTTTTCAGATATTCTTAAACATATTCAAAGTCAAAAATCCCTTTCTCTTTTTATGCTCAGGCATGTGCCAGCTTTTCCCATTAAGGAAGGAGGACAGTCTGACTCTGAGTCATCCTGCATTACAGATTTAAAATGCTTTTTTTCTTCTACTGACTCCTTTCTGACTCTTTGTCCTGACTTCCAGAAGGTGAGCATATTCTACTCCCTTTTGCTAACGAGATACAAGCAAAGTGAGGAGGTAAGACTTCGCAAACTTTTTGACAAAAAAATTCACACACTTTGCTCTCATTGTAATTTTTGTAGCAATCAGGAAAACATAGGCAAGATTGAAGTGTCAGCTTCCCATTCGAGTTGCATTCCATTTTTAGGAGAACTATTTCAATTTTCTCTATGTCTGTTTTCCTGCTTCTTCTCTACAATAACATATTAATAAATGACTTGGGATTGTAAAGACACTAGTAACAGGATATTACTACAAACTAAACTTCTATCTAATTCCATTGCCAAGAAGTGATAGTCTGGGCCATGGTTTGGGGACTCAGTTCTCATTCATTTATACCACAGTTTCTTTTTTTTTCTTTCTTTCTTTTTAGAGGTCATAATTCTATTTTATTAATATATATTTTTTATTATACTTTAAGTTTTAGGGTACATGTGCACAACGTGCAGGTTTGTTACATATGTATACATGTGCCATGTTGGTGTGCTGCACCCATTAACTCATCATTTACATTAGGTATATCTCCTAATGCTATCCCTCCCCACTCCCCCCACCCCACAACAGGCCCCAGTGTGTGATGTTCCCCTTCCTGTGTCCAAGTGTTCTTGTTGTTCAATTCCCACCTATGAGTGAGAACATACAGTGTTTGGCTTTTTGTCCTTGCAATTGTTTGCTGAGAATGATGGTTTCCAGCTTCATCCATGTCCCTACAAAGGACATGAACTCATCCTTTTTTATGGCTGCATAGTGTTCCATGGTGTATATGTGCCACATTTTCTTAATCCAGTCTATCATTGTTGGACATTTGGGTTGGATCCAAGTCTTTGCTATTGTGAGTAGTGCTGCAATAAACATATGTGTGCATGTGTCTTTATAGCAGCATGATTTATATTCCTTTGGGTATATACCCAGTAATGGGATGGCTGGGTCAAATGGTATTTCTAGTTCTAGATCCCTGAGGAATCGCCACACTGTCTTCCACAATGGTTGAACTAGTTTACAGTCCCACCAACAGTGTAAAAGTGTTCCTATTTCTCCACATCCTTTCCAGCACCTGTTGTTTCCTGACTTTTTAATGATTGCCATTCTAACTGGTGTAGGATGATATCTCATTGTGGTTTTGATTTGCATTTCTCTAATGGCCAGTGATGATGAGCATTTTTTCATGTGTCTGTTGGCTGCATAAATGTCTTCTTTTGAGAAGTGTCTGTTCATATCCTTCACCCACTTTTTGATGGGGTTTTTTTTTCTTGTAAATTTGTTTGAGTACTTTTTAGTTCTGGATATTAGCCCTTTGTCAGATGAGTAGATTGCAAAAATTTTCTCCCATTCTGTAGGTTGCCTGTTCACTCTGATGGTAGTTTCTTTTGCTGTGCAGAAGCTCTTTAGTTTAATTAGATCCCATTTGTCAATTTTGGCTTTTGTTGCCATTGCTTTTGGTGTTTTAGACATGAAGTCCTTGCCCATGCCTATGTCCTGAATGGTATTGCCTAGGTTTTCTTCTAGGATTTTTATGGTTTTAGGTCTAACATTTAAGTCTTTAATCCATCTTGAATTGATTTTTGTTTAAGGTGTAAGGAAGGGATCCAGTTTCAGCTTTCTACATATGGCTAGCCAGTTTTCCCAGCACCATTTGTTAAATAGGGAATCCTTTCCCCATTTCTTGTTTTTGTCAGGTTTGTCAAAGATCAGATAGTTGTAGATGTGTGGTATTATTTCTGAGGGCTCTGTTCTGTTCCATTAGTCTATATCTCTGTTTTGGTACCAGTACCATGCTGTTTTGGTTACTGTAGCCTTGTAGCATAGTTTGAAGTCAGGTAGCGTGATGCCTCCAGCTTTGTTCTTTTGGCTTAGGATTGACTTGGCGATGCGGGCTCTTTTTTGGTTCCATATGAACTTTAAAGTAGTTTTTTCCAATTCTGTGAAGAAAGTCATTGGTAGCTTGATGGGGATGGCATTGAATCTATAAATTACCTTGGGAAATATGGCCATTTTCACGATATTGATTCTTCCTATCCATGAGCATGGAATGTTCTTCCATTTGCTTGTGTCCTCTTTTATTTCATTGAGCAGTGGCTTGTAGTTCTCCTTGAAGAGGTCTTTCACATCCCTTGTAAGTTGGATTCCTAGGTATTTTATTCTCTTTGAAGCAATTGTGAATGGGAGTTCACTCATGATTTGGCTCTCTGTTTGTCTGTTATTGGTGTATAAGGATGCTTGTGATTTTTGCACATTGATTTTGTATCCTGAGACTTTGCTGAAGTTGCTTATCAGCTTAAGGAGATTTTGGGCTGAGACGATGGGGTTTTCTAGATATACAATCATGTCATCTGTAAACAGGGACAATTTGACTTCCTCTTTTCCTAAATGAATACCTTTTATTTCTTTCTCCTGCCTGATTGCCCTGGCCAGAACTTCCAACACTATGTTGAATAGGAGTGGTGAGAGAGGGCATCCCTGTCTTGTGCCTATACCACAGTTTCTTAATGATACTTTTTGTAGTCTCATTGTGGTTGCATATTTTATACGCAAATTTTCAAGTCTTTGCATTTCCCATATGTGGCTCATGCATTTCTTATGATTCTCTCCAGTTTTCCTGCTTATGAAATGACTATCACCAGTTGTCCTCTTGGCATAACAAAGCCCCCTTCTCACAGTGATAATTTTATCACCCAAACACATCCACTTTTTTCCATGAGACAGTAAACTAAGTTTTAAAAATGATGATGATATTTGCCAAAATGATTATGACAAAGTAGCTATTATTTTATGATTGACAGGATTCACTTTTAGGTCTTTGTATGCCTGACACTGATTTAAGTGCTTTATGCAGTTTTTATGTTTTACACTTTACAAGGTTCCTAGACAGGTGCATTATGTTCTGATTTAACAACCCAGGATATAGAAGCACACATCGTCATTTCCTTACGCTACACCATGTCCCACCACAGTCAACTCTGTCAAGCCTGGTCTGATTCTGCTGAGCAGCTGCCCTTACTTTGTTCTCCTTCCTTTTCTTGTGACCAGGAGCAGAGCCCAGGTAGTTGTGATGATGCTATGAATCCCACTATTGAGCATGACTGAGGACCAGGCTTGGTGCCCAGCACCGGCTAAATGGTCTTCCGTGGAAACAAGGGCTGCGTAGTCAGTCAAGGAAGGCCCTTGGTGCACATTGCCACTCTCCCGGCATGCTTCCAGGGTTTTCACCATCATGCATGGGGTCAAAGCTGCATTTACCACAATAAGTGCCCATGTTTGAATGTGAGAGTTTTAACTGTTTATAGACCTTAAGGTTTTGTTATTTTTCTGCAGAATCTATGTAAGCTACGTACCAAGATATATGTAAGAAGCTGCTCTGCCACTGTCAATAATAGTTACTGTTCAGTGAAAATCATTGAGTCATTTTATTTCTCCATCCCCAAGTGCACCAGGAAAGGAGCCCCAGAGAAGACGAGATAAAGATCGAAATGGTCCTGTTGAGTTAATTTACTTTTTCCACTTGCCCAACACATACTTTGATTTTGTTTGACAGATATCTATAGGTAGAAAAAGTTTGTGCACAGCAGAAATCCAAGCTCCTTCCTGCCCTTGAGGTACTTGTGGACATGTACAAGAGAAACCATCAGTTTTCCATCAAGAGGGCAAATGTTGCTATGGAGGAAAGCATAGATTTTGTGGGAGCCCAGGAAAGGGAACAGAGGGAGAACCACAGGGGTGGGAATGGGAGACGGACAGCAAGTATCTGGAGAATTACATGGTTGCGTTGAATATTTAGCAAAGAGTAATAAACTACTCAGATTTAATCGACATTTTTTATTCCAGATCACAGAGATTATTGAACATAATGATACTAATTAACAACATGGCAGAAATGTTCCTAATGCAATTATCATTTGATGTCTTATTTTTCTCTACAGATATCCTTTATTTGTTTTAATTTTCCATGGAAATGACCAAGCTTTTCAGCTATATTGTCATTAAAAATGTTTATTACCCTCAAGTCAGCTTTGGAATCTCAGCAAACACCTTCCTCCTTCTTTTCCACATCTTCACTTTTGCTTATACTCACAGGCTTAAGCCCATTGACATGACCATTAGTCACTTGCCCCTAATCCACATACTGCTACTCTTCACTCAGGCGATACTGGTGTCCTCCGACTTATTTGAATCATGGAATATTCAGAACAATGATCTAAAGTGTAAGATCATCACATTTTTAAACAGGGTGATGAGGGGAGTCTCCATCTGCACCACTTGCCTCCTAAGCGTGCTCCAGGCCATCACCATCAGCCCCAGCACCTCCTTCTTGGAAAAGTTTAAACATATTTCTGCAAATCACACCTTAGGCTTCATCCTCTTCTCATGGGTCCTCAACATGTTCATTACTAATAACCTTTTGCTTTTCATTGTGCCTACCCCGAATAGGATTGGGGCCAGTCTTTTGTTTGTCACTGAGCACTGTTATGTTTTGCCCATGAGCTACACCCACAGGAGCCTGTTTTTCATACTAATGGTTTTGAGGGATGTCATCTTCATAGGACTCATGGTCCTCTCAAGTGGCTATGGGTGATTATTTTGTACAAACAAAAGAGACTGTCCCAGCACCTACATAGCACCAGCGTCTCCCCAAGAGCCTCCCCAGCAAAAAGGGCCTCCCAGACCATCCTATTGTTGGTGAGCTGTTTTGTCTTCTTATATTGGGTGGACTTCATATTCTCATTTTCAGTGGTTGTGACATGGATAAACGACCCTCTACTGGTATGATTCCATATGCCTGTGGTCAATAACTATGCCATAATTAGTCCTTTAGTCTTAACCTATGCTGATAACAAATATTCAAGATTGTTCAGACTCTTTGGAGGAGAATAATTAAGGTTTATCAAAAGTGATGAAAATTTACAACTAGAAATGCATTTGATAGTCCCCCAAATAGTTTTACATGTTGCATAGGGTATTTCTCTGAATACATTCATTCAAGGTTATTACTAACCCTGTGTTATATCAATCATAACGATCTTTGTAATATGATTAATATGATTAGCAAATGCAATTGAGTAAATTGTGCACATCAGTCATATGTCTACAGGATTTTTGTTTCTTTGCTTTCTTTCTTTTTATTTTTTTGAGACGGAGCCTCGCTCTGTCACCCAGGCTGGAGTGCAGTGGCGCCATCTCGGCTCACTGCAAGCTCCGCCCCCCCGGGTTCCCACGAGGCGCCCTTCCCACCAGGCGCCCGCCACCCTGGTTCCCACCAGGCGCCTGCCACCACACTGGGCTAATTGTTTGTATTTTTAGTAGAGACGGGGTTTCACTATGTTAGCCAGGATGGTCTCAATCTCTTGACCTCGTGATCCGCCCACCTCGGCCTCCCAAAGTGCTGGGATTACAGGCGTGAGCCATTGCGCCCGGCCACACTATTCTTGTTTGTATATAAATATCCCGTTTTATTTATCACACTTTTTTGATCTCCCACATGTATCTGCATTTCCCAATTTTGTTATGTTTTTATTTTTACTTATTTCTATATATTTTTTTGAGACAGGGTTTCTCTCTGTCCCTCAGCCTGGGGTGCAATGGCACAATCATGGCTCACTGTTCCCTCGACCTCCTGGGCTCAAATGATCCTCCCACCTCAGCCTTTGAATAGCTGGGATTACAGGCACACGCCACCACACCTGGCTAATTTAAAAAATTTTTTTTGTAGAGACAGGGTCTCGCTGTGTTGCCGAGGCTGGTCTCAAACTCCTTGGGCTCAAGGAATCCTCCTGCAATCCTCCTGCCTTGGCCTCTCAAAGTGTTGGATTATAGGTATGAGCCATCCCTCCTGATCTCACTTTATCATTTCTATAAAATTCAAAGTCTTTATTTCAAATATTGTATCTTTGTTTTCCCTCTTTTCTACTTCTGAATTTTCAACATGATTTAAATTAGACCTGCTCATTTTATTATTTGTATCTCCTAATCTCTTTCATATATTTTAGATCTCTCTGCTTTCTCAGTTGCATTCTAAACATTTTATTCAGCCATGTAGCTTAGTTATCATTTTACCTGAAGTCTGTATCAACTGCCATTTAACAATTCAATTTATTTTCATAGCTGTGATGCCAGTTTATTTTTTATATTTTTTATGTTGATACATAATATGTGTACATATTTATGGCATATGTATAATATTTTGTTATATGCATATAATGTGTCATGATCAAGTTGATGTATAGGGTATTCATCAACTCAAATTTTTATTTGTAATTTTACAAAAAAATTTTTGGAGATAGGGTTTCACTCTGTCACCCAGGCTGGAGTGCAGTGGAGTAATCATGGCTCACTGCAGTCTCGACCTCCTGGGCTGAAGAAATTTTCCCACCTCAGCCTCCTAAGTAACTGGGACTGCAGGCACATACCACCACACCTGGCTAATTATTATTATTATTCTTGTAGAGATGGGATATCACTCTTGCTCAGGCTAGTCTCAAAATCCTGGCCTCAAATATCCTACTCCCTTGACCTCCCAAAGTGCTGGGATTACAGGAATGAGCTAGAGTGTCCAGCCTGTTTATTATTTGTATGTGTTGGAAACCTTTCAGTTCTCTCTCAAAGCTATTTTGAAATATACAATACATTGTTATATATAGTCAGTTACTCTGCTATCAAATATTAAAACATTTCTTATATCTAACTGTATGTTTGTACCCATTAACAACCTCTCTTCTTCCATCAACAACCATCTACGCACACTTCTCAGTCTCTGGTAGCTATCATTCTTCTCTCTATCTCCGTGAGATCAACTTTTTTTGCTCCCATATGTAAGTGAAACTATTCAATATTTGTCCTTCTGTGCCTGGCATACATCACTTAACATAATGACATCCATTTACATCTGTGTTGCTGCAAATAACAAAATTTCAGTTTTTTTAAAGGCATAATAGTACTTTATTGTGCACATACCCTACATTTTCATTCACTGATGGACAATTTGGTTGATCTCATATCTTTGCTATTGTAAATACTGTTGCTATAAACATGCAAATGTAGGCATCCCTTTGATATATGGATTTCCTTTTCTTTTGATAAATACCCAGTAGTGGGATTGCTAGATGGTATGGTAGTCCTATTTTTAGTTAGTTTTGTTTGTTTGTTTGTTTGTTTTTGGGTTTTTTTGGTGACATCTCCATACTGTTTTCCATAGTGGCTGTACTGACTTACATTGCCACCAACAGTATATAAGTTTTCTTTTCTCCACATTCTTGCCAACGTCTCTTGTGTTTTCCTTTTAATAACAGTCATTCTAACTGGGGTAAGATGATATCTCATTCTGGTTTTGACTTATATTTCCCTTGTGACTGGTAATGTTGAGCATTAAAAAAAAAAAACCTGTTAGCCATTTGCATTTCTTCTTTTGAGAAATGTCTATGTATGTCCTTTGCACACTTTTTAATGTGATTGCTTTTTACTATTTGAGTATATTTTGGATGTTAGTTCTTTATCAGATGAATAGTTTGCAAATATTTTCTTCCATTCAACAAGTTGTTTCTTTGCTCCATTGATTGTTTCCTTTGCCATGTAGAAGTTTTTTTATTTAATAATATTTTCCCATTTGTCTGCTTTTGTTTTTGTTTTCATTTTCATTGTGTGTGTTTTTGATGTCTTAGCCATAAAATATTTGCCTAATGTTCTGAAGTGTTTTCTGTGTGTTTTTATCTAATAGTTTTATAGTTTCAGGTCTTATGTATAAGTTCATAATTCATCTTCAGTTTATTTTTGTATATGGTGAGAAATAGGGGTCCAGTTTCATACTTTTGCATGTAGATATCCAGTTTTCCCAGCACCATTCATTGAAAATAATGTCCAACACCCAGTGTATGTTCTTGGAGCCTTTGTGGAAAACCAGTTGGCTGTAAATACATGGATTTATTTCTCTGTTCTATACTCTGTTCCACTGGACTATGTGTCTCTTTTAAACTCAACCATGCTATTGTTGTTACTTTTGCCTTGTAATCTATTTCATTTACTTTTCTTTTTCTTTTTCTTTCTTTTTGTTTTAATTTTTGTGGGTACATAGTAGGTATACATATTTATGAGGTACATGAGATGGGGTTTGATACAGGCATGCAATGTGAAATAATCACAGCATAGAGAATGGGGCATCTATCCCCTCAAGCATTTATCCTTTGAATCACAAACAATCCAATTACACCCTTTAAATTATTTTAAAATGTACAATTAAATTATTATTGACT